>NW_003571056.2:877240-1064304 GCF_000001405.40 Homo sapiens | reverse complement strand
AAGCTTCAATCTTATCCTTTTAACCCTCAAACCTTTTAACCCAGTCCGACACCCAGCAGCGACTTAGACAATTGCATTAGAGCCTCTGGAAAACCAAGAGTTTAATCGTCCAGCCTTTACCCCTCTCGGGGGCCCAGAGATACTACCACTTCCTAACTTTCCCAGAAACTTGCCCCCAAGCCCTTGAAGTCCCAAGCCTGCTCCTCTGGGTCTCCAGGATCCCAAGCACCAGACTTGGGCTCTTCTTCAAAACCCAAAGGTCCAATTCCCCAGCCTCTCCCCTCCAATATCCAGGGCTCTGTCCTCCTAGGGAGCCCAGGCATGGTGCTTCCCAGGCCCTGGGAAAACAAACTGGCTTCTTCCAGCCTTTTGGGGATCCAGGGATCCAACCTCTCAGACTTTACCCACTCCCAGCCCCCTTCCTCCCTTAGGCCCAGGAATCCGGGTCTCCATTCCCAACTCCCTTAGCCCCAGAAGTCTGGGTCCCGCCCCCTCCCACCCTGCTCCTCCCTCTCTCCCAGCCCCGGCCCGCCCCATCACCATCTCACCCACCTGAGAAGAGCCAGGAAGACAGAAGGAAAAACACAGAAAAAAAGGGGGCGGAGTCAGCATCGGGAGCCCCCGGGACGCACCCCTCCTTGACCCCCTTGCCCTGCCCTGGGGCGGACACTCACCCATTGACAGCGACCTGGGGGGCGCTTTGCTGTAGGAAGTAAGACAGTCGGGTCAGGCGGGGCCAGGCGGACCGGCCGCGCCCCCGGACTTCCCAGCCTCGGCCCTGCTGTGTCGCTTGGGTCACCTGCCGGCGCCTCCGCTCGTGCTGTAGCTGTTTCTCAACTGGGTCCTCCCAGGCGCGGCTCTGCGGGTCAGTGACCGGCGGCTCCCAGCCGCTGAAGAACTCGGGTCTGTATGGGGGTCCCTCCTCCGGGGACAGCTCCAGCCTGCGGCCAGGGACAGGGCCAAGAGCTCAGGGATCCTGATACAGCCCCCAACTTCGTTCCTGCATTAACTTCACTAAGTTTTCCCCTAAAGCTCGCTGTATTCCAACGATTCTAGCCCCGCCACTTTTCACCAAGTCCTGCCGGTAGCTCTAAGCCCAACTCAACAGCAATTTATATTTCTAGACCGGGCACGGTGGCTCACGCCTGTAATCCCAGCATTTTGGGAGGCCAAGATGGGAGGATCGCTTGAGGCCAGGAGTTCCAGACCAGCCTGGGCAAAATATTGAGACCCCATCCATCTCTCTCTCTGGAAAAAAATTGCCTTATCCAGCCTCTAAATCTCACCTGATTCCAAATCAGGTTTTCCGTAAGGTCGGTTTCAGGTTCTGACCCTTTCCCTGCGGAACTGCCAGCCCGCAGTGCACAGACTCTGTCCCATCACCAAAGTTATAGACCAAACCTTCCAGAAGCCCCGCCCCTTCGCGTAGCCCCGCCCCTGCCCCGTAGCCCCTAGCCCCTCTATTCCTTTAAGCCCCCCTTTTCTTTCAATCCGATTGGTCTGGTGGTCTTAAATCTTTCCTTCACGTTAATTCCTGGCCTTTCCTCCAATTGAATCTTGGCATCTGTCCTAAGCCCCGCCCCAACACAACTAAGCCACGCCTCTAACCCCTCCCTACTCTCCTAGTCCTATTTTCCAATCATCATGCCACCCACCTCCCAGCGCCTTATGCTCCTCCAATCACCATGCCCCCTGCCTCCCAGCCCCGCCCCTCACCCGGGGCGGGTCCACGAGTCCCCCAGCGAGGTCCAGAGCTCGTTTTCACGTGGAGTGACGTTGTCCCGCAGCAGCGCCACGGCATCCGATGTCAGATGCGGCCGCCGCACACTGCTCGCGAACTCCGGCCCCCCCGACGTGTTCACAATCTGTCAGGGGAGCAGGAGGGGCAGGCTGTGCCGCCACACCTTCTACAAGTCGAACCCGATTCCTCCCGCTGCAGGGGGGCCCGAGGGCCTGGGGCGGGTCTCACCATCTGCAGAGGCCCGAAAAGGAAGTGCAACAGCTCCGGAGAGGAGGGGTCGGCGATGTTGCCGCGCAGCCGGGCCTGGGGCGTGGGGAGGGAGGTGGTTGGCGTGGGTGCGGGGACGGGACAGGTTCGTCGTGCCCGCGCCCCGGCCCAGGGGCGGGCGCGTCCTCACCAGCAGGCTGAAGGCGTACTTGATCTTCTGCAGCACGTCGGTGTACTCGGCCTCCGAGGGCGGCTTGGCCCGCAGCGTCAGCAAGCCCTCTGAGGGGAGCAGACGGGCGCGGCGATGGGGACGCGGGGCCAGCACCAGGCAGGCAGAGAGAGGTGGACACCCGGTTAAGATGGCGGTGAGGTCAGCCCTGGCAAGTGGCGGGAGGGGAGAGCCTGGGGAGAGCGGGGACATTTGGAAGAGATCGGGAGGGGGTTCAGATCCCACGCCAGGGTGCCCCTTACCCCCAGCCGCCCGGCGCCGGCTCCTGCGGCCGCGTTCCCGGTGCTCCAGCACCCTGGCCGCCTCCGCCGACTTCTGCAGCCTCGATACAAAGCTCTCTACGTCGTCGAACACGTGGTTCAGGATGTCCTAGGGGACAGAGGAGGGGGACGCTCAGGGCTCCCGAGTTCCAAAACCATCCCCGTCGAAGCCCTGAACCTGAGCACCTATACACTTCCCCAGATCAGGCCACGCCCCAAACACCTGGCCACGCCCCACAACCAAGCCCCGCCCCCGACCCAGCCCCTCTTCCATAACGCAGAAGTCTGACCAGAGAACGCCCGTCCCGCAGCCGGCCCCGCCCTTCCACGCCCTAGCCCCGCCTCCAGTCGCCTGGCCCTGCCCCCAGACCCCTTCCTTAGCGGCTCACCACTTCCCGCTCCGCCTGCAGAACCGCCAGGTCAGGACCCCGGGGACCCAGGTCCGGGGAGGCCGAGTCAGCGTTGCTCGAGGTCCCCACCGGCTCAGGCCTCTGCGCCTCCTCTGCCTCGGGAATGGGCTTCGCCTGGGGTCGTCCGCGGCCCGCGCCCCGCTCTACGGTGCTGATCACTGCGCGGACTGACGGGCGGCGCTGCAGGGGCGGGGTCTCAGCGGCGGGCGAGCGGTCGCGCTGCAACTCCTCCTGCGTGGCCCTGCGGAGGGCGACGGGGACACCAAGACTGGGTCCACTGAGGGGTCCAGGGAGGGGGAAATCCAGGGCGCAGAACGAGACACACAGGCTCAAAAGGCTCAAAGGGAGTGAACAAGTTCAACGAGGTAGGGAGAAATCCGATATACGGAGGGATAGCACCTCTCTAGAGTGAAACTGAGGGCCTGGACAGGGAACAGAGAAAAGAAGCAGAGTTCTGGAGAAGGGGTCAGCTCGTCTGGGAGGTACAGACAAGACTCGACTAGGGTGTGCTTGACTCCATGCAAAACTCTTGTTCTGTTCCAGGCTGGTGTTGTAGACTGAGGCACAAGGAGGGGAAACCGGCTTCCCAGAGACCCTGCCAACTTCTTCCCTCTCACCTGAGCGCCGCCGCCCTGCGCTCCCCGCGGCCCGAGCGGTAATTGTGCAGAGCCCCCTGGATGTCCTCTCGGATCAGCTCCGCCTGCCAATCACACCGTCAGGCCACGCCTCCCCACGCCGCACCCACTTCCTACCCGGGCCTCGCCCCTGGCCGATTTTTCAGCTCAGTCCCAGCCCACGTGCGGCTACCGTTCACACCTGTGAACCCACGCACGTCCACGCCCCGAACTCACCCCTCGCCCTACACCTGTCCCTGCCCTAAGCCACGACCCCGCCCATGGAGACCCAGTCCGGGTGGTTCCTCGCCCCCACCTCGTCCTGGCTGCTCCCCCAGATCCTTCTTGGCCATGTTCTGTTCATGTCCTCATCCCACCTTCATGTTCTATCTTGACCCTGGGTCCAATCTCAAACCCCACTGCCTTCCAGAACTTCCTTCCCAGGTCCCCTGCCCTTCCTTGCTCTGATCCCGCCTTAGCCCCAGGCCCCGCCCCACCTAGAGGCCCCACCCATTTCCGCCCCGGCTCCAGGCTCCGCCCAGTTCCAGCTCCACCCCCAGAGCCAGCCCATCTGCTCACCCCGAGGCGCAGGCCCTGGAAGAAGTGCACGTCGGGCTGCGCGCGCTCGGGTTCCTGGCACACGAGCAGCAGCAACGAGCGGCTCCTGCCGGGTGGCATCACCGCGTCACAGCGCACGATGGCGCCCAGTGGGTACGACTCCAGCTCCTCCTGCCGGGTGGGATGGCGGGGTAAACTGAGGCCCCGAAATGATGGTACTACTAAATGGCGACGGGAGTGTGGGCCAGCAGGTCAGGGCAACCTCAGGCGGTTAGGGGGTTAGGGATAACAGCCCTGTTTAATAGATGAGGCTATTAAGGCTCAAGAAGGGGGCTGGGGTCCCTCGCCAGAGTTCCCAGAGGAAGGACGTGCAGGAGCCAAGATTCACACCCAGACCCCCTGAAGTCCCTGCCCCAGACACTCCTCCCACCCACGTGCCCCCCGGCACCTTGGAGGCCGGGTCGAGCAGCGTGACATGGTCGGGAGACACTCGCAGCAGCATCTCCTGTGCCCAGACTCGGCCCTGGCTATCCATGACGGCCAACTTCCTGGAGGCATCCTCCACGGTATGCACGCCATCGTCCTCACCCAGGCAGAACGTCACCAGGTGCTGGTACGGACCATGGAGAAAGCAGTGAGGCCCAAGATGATGCCAGGTGGGCTCAGAATCCCCCAGAATAATCAGACTTTCAGCCTGAGACTAACCACACCTCCTCCAGGAAGCCTTCCTTGATCACCTGTTCCACAAATCAGCTCCTCCTCCCAGTGCCCTTTGTTTCCCTTTCATCAGAGTGACTAGCACCTGAGTCTGGCTTCTCACAGACTGGAGGCTCCTTGCGGGCAGGGAAGGAGTCTGGATTATAGCTCTCTCCTTCTAAATGCCTCCTCGGGTCTCCTGCCATGCCCCCTGCCACCTCCATTAGAGCACCAGGCGCCTCTGTGGATTCCTCTGGACCTTGTCTACCCCTTCCTCATGCAGGGCTGTGTCTTGATTTGCCTCCGTGGTCCCACTGTCCAGCACAACAGCTGGCCTGGAGGAAAGGCTGGCAGATTAAGTGGACCCGAGGCCCCTGGCTTCATATCCATGACTGAGGTGAGGCAACGGAGGTCCATTTTATGGATGGGCAAACTGACTTTCCACATGCTTCCTGCTTGGGGGCCTAGCTGCTTTCAAAAGCCCTATCTCCTGAGGCCACCTTTGCCCCAGAAGATGTCCTGGGGGAACACAGACCCCAGACTCACATTGACTGGGTACTGGGATACATCAGCCATAACAACTGTGGAGTAACGCTTCCTCTGCTCTGCCAGGGGAGAAAGAGAATGAGCCTGGGAGTCCAGGCCCAGCCCCTCCTCCATCAGACCCAGGAGTCCAGGCCCCCAGCCCCTCCTCCCTCAAACCTAGGAGTCCAGCCCCCCAGCCCCTCTTCCCTCTGACCCAGGAGTCCAGGCCCCCAGCCCCTCCTCCCTCAAACCCAGGAGTCCAGGCCCCCAGCCCCTCTTCCCTCTGACCCAGGAGTCCAGCCCCCCAGCCCCTCCTCCCTCTGACCCAGGAGTCCAGACCCCCAGCCCCTCTTCCCTCTGACCCAGGAGTCCAGGCCCCCAGCCCCTCTTCCCTCTGACCCAGGAGTCCAGGCCCCCAGCCCCTCTTCCCTCTGACCCAGGAGTCCAGCCCCCCAGCCCCTCTTCCCTCTGACTCAGGAGTCCAGACCCCCAGCCCCTCTTCCCTCTGACCCAGGAGTCCAGCCCCCCAGCCCCTCTTCCCTCTGACCCAGGAGTCCAGCCCCCCAGCCCCTCTTCCCTCTGACCCAGGAGTCCAGCCCCCCAGCCCCTCTTCCCTCTGACCCAGGAGTCCAGCCCCCCAGCCCCTCTTCCCTCTGACCCAGGAGTCCAGCCCCCCAGCCCCTCTTCCCTCTGACCCAGGAGTCCAGGCCCCCAGCACCTCTTCCCTCTGACTCAGGAGTCCAGGCCCCCAGCCCCTCCTCCCTCAAACCTAGGAGTCCAGCCCCCCAGCCCCTCTTCCCTCTGACCCAGGAGTCCAGACCCCCAGCACCTCTTCCCTCTGACTCAGGAGTCCAGACCCCCAGCCCCTCCTCCTCCAAGACCCTGGATGCCAGGTCCTGTTTCTTTAGACCCAGTTCTATGGGCCTGGGGCTCCCTTGCCCCCCGCTCACCATAGATAGACTTGGCGCTTGGCTTTGGGGCAGCTTCTGGGCTGGTGAAGAAAAGAGGAATGAGAGAGACTGTGGGACTGGGGGCAGATCCTGTGGAAATGCCAAGCAGGGCAGCAAGGGCTTCATGACGAAGGTAATGGGGAGCGATGGAAGGGTTATTATTATTATTATTATTATTATTATTATTATTATTATTGAGCAGGAGAGCTCAGAGCCAGAGCTGGACTTTAAGAAGACAGGTAGGCTGGGCGCGGTGGCTCACGCCTGTAATCCCAGCACTTTGGGAGGCAGAGGTGGGCGGATCACAAAGTCAAGAGATTGAGACCATCTTGGCCAACATGGTGAAACCCTGTCTCTACTAAAAATACAAAAATTAGCTGGGTGTGGTGGTGGGCGCCTGTAGTGCCAGCTACGTGGGAGGCTGAGGCAGGAGAATCACTTGAACCTGGGAGGCGGAGGTTGCAGTGAGTCCAGATCGTGCCACTGCACTCCAGCCTGGCAGCAGAGTGAGACTCCATCTCAAAAAAAAAAAAAAAAAAAAAAAGACAGGTCAGGTCAGGCGGTGGTGCTGGGTGGTAGGGGAGTGTGATCTCTACCATGGCATAGTCCGGGATTCAAACCCTCTGTCTACTGCCTCCTTGCCATAAGACCTTCAGAAGAGGATTTAATCTCTCCTGCCTCAGTTTTTCTTTCTGTAACGTAGTAACCATCTGGTAGGGCTGTTGGGCAAATTCAGTCAGATGATGCAGGTGAAGTATTTTGAAGCCTCAATAACTGTTATTATCATTCTTAAGATGCTGCCAGGGCTTAGCACACAGAAGTTGCTCAATAAATGGGAATGGTTATAATAGCATTAGTGGTATCTGAAGTAGACAGGGAATTATCTGCTTCCCCTCCCACTCCCATGGGCCAGGTGCTTCCCAACCACATCCTTCTCTGTCTCCTCCCGTCCTCAATTTCTTCCTAAGATTACCTTTCCTAAGAATTCTTGAATCCCCACTTGCATGCACATAACAGAAGCTCAGCGATCAGGTGGCGTCAGGGGAACTGAAAAACCCTTTTTCCCAAACTCCTGTTCCTCATCCTGCTCCTGCCAGTCTGATGTCACCACAATTTGATTACCTCTGGGCCAGAGAGCTCACTACCTACCATGCAGGTATTTTGACTCATCTCTCATTGTTTTTCTCCCTGCTTACTCTGGGGGACTTGAGTCTTCATTATAAACAGCCCTGATTTTCTAGCAAAGGGTTAATATTTACTAACAACATAACAATCGCAATAGCGACTCCTATGAGTTGAGCACCTGCTGTCAGTGAGGTGGTCAGCTAAGTCCTGTAATGCACTATCCCTCCAATTTTTCAACATTGTCCCTGTGTCACAGAGGAGGGGCTGAGGCTCCAGGAGGTGATGTCCTCTGACCAGGGTTACATCAGCACTGAGTGTGAGGGCCGAACTGGAGCTCAGGCCTGTCTGCTCTGCAGTGGGGGCCCCTAACCCCAGGCTGGGCAGGGAGGAGAGAGGCTCTGGCTTCCTCCTGAGTGTCGGGGCTTGGGCCAGAGTCTGGGCCGCCGCAAACAGTCTGGGCTGCCGCAAGCGGGTGTGGGTGAGGAGGCGAGGGGAGGCGGGAGGCGTGCTGGGGCTGGGACCTGGGGTCCGGGGGCGCTTACCCTGTGGCGGTGCTCATGGTGCTGAGTGGTAGCTCCTGCCCACCTGGAGGTGCCCTGGGAGCCAGCAAACATGTGAAGGCCTGGCCAGTAGGAGCCTCTAATTCCTACCCCAGCCTCCTCCCTCAATGCAGGCATCCAGGCCCCAGCCCCTCCTCCCTCAGGCCCAGGAGTCCAGGCCCCCAGCCCCTCCTCCCTCAGACCCAGAAGTCCAGGCCCCAGTCCCTCTTCCCTAGACCCAGGAGTCCAGACCCCAGTCCCCTCCTCCCTCAGACCCAGGAGTCCAGACCCCAGTCCACTCCTCCCTCAGACCCAGGAGTCCAGGCCCCATCTCCTCCTCCCTCAGACCCAGGAGTCCAGGCCCTCAGCCCCTCCTCCCTCAGACCTAGGAGTCCAGGACCCCAGGCCCTCCTCCCTCAGACCCGGGAGTTCAGACCCCCAGCCCGTCCTCCCTGAGACCCTGGAGTCCAGACCCCAGTCCCCCCGTCCCTCAGACCCATTGGTCAAGCCCCGGCCCCCTTCTCTCCTGACCCGGATCTCCTTACCTGCCTGCTCAGGCTCTGCCCTGCTCTCCGCTGTCCTTTCCCTTCCAGGCTGCCGGCCCCTCCTCCTGCTCCCTCCCAGGGCCGTCCTGCCTCCGCCTCCGCCTCCGCATACCTGAGCATTCACCTGGCACAGCCTGGCTGGAGTGACCCCGGGGCGGGGCTGGCAGACAGATCTAGGAGGGGCTGGGGGGACTGCAGGGGAGCTGGGAAACTAACTGTCTGCCTTGTAGCAACAGAATAATAGCAACGAACAGTACATTTGATGTCACACTTGTTCACAGGTCAGAGTTGAAAGCTCTGTCTTTAAAACTCCCTTGAAATTCTAACAGCGGGAGGAAGTTCGAGGTTTGATTCCTGCTTGACAGATGAGGAAGCTGAAGGCCAGAGAGGTTGAGCAACTTGTCCATTTCAGCACTTGGTTAAGGAGGGATTTGAACCCGGGGCTGACCTTCTGTCTCCAGGGCCAGTGGCAGCCCGTCTTCTATGGACACCTCCTGCCCACGATCACTGCCTCTGCTCATGCCCTTACCTCCCCACCCATCCCGTTCCACCTTCCTTTGGAAATTTCCCTCAATGACCCCCCTATTCTGACAAAAGCTAAGATTTAGCTCGATAATGCCTGGCCCAGCTCCAAGGACATCACAAAAATGAACAGGCTTTCCAGGCATAAACACCTTTCTGAAATCACTTTTCCAGAACTCCCTCCATGCTGTAGAGGTTACTAGCAAAGCTTTCCACATCATTTCTCCCCAGAGCCCCGTGAGGGGAGTGTGTCTGGGTGGGAGGCTGTCTTCGTCTCACAGATGAGAAAATGAGGAAGAGAAGGGTTAAGAAACTTGCATGGGTACAGTGGCTCACATCTCTAATCCCAGCACTTTGGGAGGCCGAGGCAGGCAGATCACCTGAGGACAGGAGTTCGAGACCAGCCCAGCCAACATGGTGAAACCCCATCTGTACTAAAAACACAAAAATTATCCAGGTGTGGTGGCGGGTGCCTGTAATCCCAGCTACTCAGGAGGCTGAGGCAGGAAAATCACTTGAACCCGGGAGGCAGAGGTTGCGGCGAGCCGATAATTGCACCACTGCACTCCAGCCTAGGCAAGAGAGCGAGGCTCCATCTCAAAAAACAGAAAACAGGCCGGGCGCAGTGGCTCACACCTGTAATCCCAGCACTTTGGGAGGCCGAGGCGGGTGGAACACGAGGTCAGGAGATCGAGACCATCCTGGCTAACACGGTGAAACCCCGTCTCTACTAAAAATACAAACAATTAGCCGGGCGTGGTGGTGGGCACCTGTAGTCCCAGCTACTCGGGAGGCTGAGGCAGGAGAATGGCGTGAACCTGGAAGGCGGAGCTTGCAGTGAGCCGAGATTGCGCCATTGCACTCCAGCCTGGGCGACAGAGCGAGACTCTGTCTCAAAAAAGAAGAAAAAAAAAAAGCTGACATCTTGCAAGGCCTTAAGGGACGTGATTCTGATCTCATCTCTTCCTTCTGTGTGTCAGCACACTGGCCTCCTTGCTGCTCTTGGAACATCCAGACCCGGTCCTGCCTCAGGGCCTTTGCACTTGCTGTTTCCTCTGCCTGGAATGCTCTTCTACCAGATACCCTCATGCCTCACTTTCTTGCCTCCTTTGATCTTTGCCTGAATGTCACCTTCTCAGAGGACTGGCTGACCACCCTGTTTCAAATGGCGGCATCCCTTACTCGACTTCTTTTGTTTTTTTTGAGACAGAGTTTCACTCTTGTTGCCCAGGCTGGAGTGCAGTGGCGCAATCTTGGCTCACCGCAACCTCCGCCCCCCCAGGTTCAAGTGATTCTCCTGCCTCAGCCTCCTGAGTAGCTGGGACTACAGGCGCGCGCCACCACGCCCGGCTAATTTTGTACTTTTAGTAGAGACAGCATTTCACCATGTTGGCCAGGATGGTCTCGATCTCTTGACCTCGTGATCTGCCCGCCTCGGCCTCCCAAAGTGCTGGGATTATGGGTGTGAGCCACCGCCCCCGGCAACCCAACTTCTTTGTAGTCTCTTTCCTCTCTCCCTACTTCATTTTTGTGTGGAGAACTTTTCACCTTCTTACCCACTGTGTTCCTGGTTCATTTTGTCTGTGTCTCCTCCGTTAGAATGCAAGCTTCACAGGCTGGGCACGGTGGCACATGCCTGTAATCCCAGCACTTTGGGAGGCTGAGGCGGATTGATCACTTGAGGTTGGGAGTTCGAGACCAACCTGGCCAACATGGTGAAAGCACGTCTCTACTGAAAATATGAAAATTAGCCGGGGGTGGTGGTGTACACCTGTAATCCCAGCTTCTTGGGAGGCTGAGACAAGAAAATTGCTTGAACCCCGGAGGTGGAGGTTGCAGTCAGCCGAGATCACACCATGTCACCAACATGATAAAACCCCATTTCTACTAAAAAAAAAAAAATTAGCCAGAGTTGGTGGTGCACACCTGTAATCCCAGCTTCTTGGGAGACCAAGGCAAGAGAGTCACTTGAACCTGGGAGGTGGAGGTTGCAGTGAACCGAGATGATCGTGCCACTGCACTCCAGCCTGGGTGACAGAGCGAGACTCCATCTTAAAAAAAAAAAAAGCGGCCGGGTGTGGTGGCTCACGCCTGTAATCCCAGCACTTTGGGAGGCCGAGGCGTGTGGATCACGAGGTCAGGAGATTGAGACCATCCTGGCTAACATGGTGAAACCCCGTCTCTACTAAAAATACAAAACAATTAACCAGGCTTGGTGGTGGGTGCCTGTAGTCCCACCTACTCCGGAGGCTGAGGCAGGAGAATGGCGTGAACCCGGGAGGTGGAGATTGCAGTGAGCCAAGATTGCTCCACTGCACTCCAGCCTGGGTGACAGAGCAAGACTCCATCTCAAAAAAAAAAAAAAAAAAATGCAAGCTTCACAAGGGCAAAGATTTTTGTGTGATCAGTCCTCCACTTAATCTGCAGCACACAGAATTGGGTCTAGCACATAGAAAGTGTTGGAGAGATACTTGTTGAGTAAACGAGCTTTTGGCATTTGGTGCATTCATGTGCATTACTGCTTTGTTGCTTCATTCAAGATATGTTGCCTCCACGGTCTATGCTGAGTGAGCCTGGAAATCAGAGAAGGCACATTTTTGCCTTCGATTGATGGGGATGAAGGAACAGAGAGAAAGAGATATAGTGTGGTCTGATGGCAGAGAGCCTCGGGCAGGTGTGGGTCTGAATCCTGGCTTTGCCACTTGATAATTTTGGAGATACTTATTGTGTGCTTATATCTTCTCAGTACATCATAAATGTGTGTGTGTGTGTGTGTGTGTGTGTATGCATAATCCTCACCACATCCTATGGAATGGGTCCTATTATCCCCATTTTTTTTCTTAATTGAGACAAGGTCTAGTTCTGTGGCCCAGGCTAGAATGCAGTGTCATAATCACAGCTCACTGCAGTCTCGACCTACTGGGGTGATCCTCCCATCTCAGACTATATATAAATATATATACACATATATATAGTAGAGTCTCCTTATGTTGCCCAGGCTGGTCTCCAACTCCTGGGCTCATGTGATACTCCTGCCTTATCCTCCCGAAGTGCTGGGATGACAGGCATGAGCCACCCACCACACCCAGCTTATTGGGAGGATAAAGTCAGGTTATAGAGAGTTGTCAATACAGTACCTGGCAAAGAGGAAACGCAAGGCTGGTGTTAGCAATGGCGAGGACGATGGCCTTTCTTCCCATGCGTGCTGCAAGGGAGGACACGAGGGGCTCTGCCAAGGCCAGGAGAGGCTGCTGAGGGTCAGGACAGGCTGCCTGGAGGAGGAGGACAGGCTGCCTGGAGGAGGAGGGCAGGCCAGGAATCACCTTGAAGGATGAGTTTGACAGCCAGTGTCAATCCTAGAAGATAGGGGTGTTCTGGGCCCTGCAACTGCCTGAGTGAAGGATGGGGGCTGCAGGGGTGGCCAGCGGGGCTAGACTGTGAGCTCCTGGCTACCCAGCAGGTGGTCCTGGTGCGTGTAGCAGCGGGTGGGGGAGGTAGGGGTGGAAGGAGGGCCCTTACGCTTCTCTTTCTTTGGCTTCTGCAATTCTGTGTTCTCATCACATTCATGCCACAAGTATTTTCTGTGCTTGACTGTACCTGAGTTGGGGTTTGAGGGAAGGAGCAGACCCCTTGCCCCATTGACAGGAGAAAACAGAGGCTCAGAGAGGGAAGTCAGTAGCCTAAGGTTACAGTGGCCCTGGGCTGTGACACAGATGCAGATCTGACTGGGCCTGGGCTCATTTCTTCATGAACAAGGGGAGAAAACTATCTCATAGAAGCATTTGGTATGGGTCCGAGGCCTTTGGGTCTGAGGGAGGAGGGGCTGGGGTCTGGACTCTTGGGTCTGAGGGAGGAGGGGCTGGGGGCCTGGACTCCTGGGTCTGAGGGAGGAGGGGCTATCTCATTGCTTTGGGGGTGGCGCAGGCGGCCCTCCAGGCCATGGTCTGGAGCAGCAGGTGAGACCGAAACCCGAGCCTCCACCCAAGTCCCAAGTCCCAGGGCCCAGGGCCTCTTTCCTCCTTCTCTGGCCGCAAAGGAGGCCCCTCCCTCTCTGTAACCCACAGCAAATGCCTCCCAAATACCAGTCAAAGTGTCCACCCCTGCACAGTCTGACTCAGCCAGTCCAGGGCGGAGGCAGTAAAGCCCTGTCTTGGCAAGTCACCAGGGAAATCCATCACCGAAGCACCTCTCTCCCCCCTCGGCCTGGCTATTCTGTCATTGGCACCTGTTCTTGGGTGAGTGACAGGGCTCTGTGGTCAGGGTTTGCCTCTGTCCCAGTCTGGGATAGCTGTCTTGGGGGGCTGGCCTTTCTTCCCTCTCACCTGGGATGTCCCAGGAACGGAACAGAATTCTCCCCTGGGGCTTGAAGAGCTCACCCCCCATCTCCTCCGTTATCCCCACCCCCACACCACCCAACACACATCCTCTAGTCTGTAGGATTTGCTGACAAATTCCTATGACAGCCGGATGTGGTGCCTCACACCTGTTACCCAGCATTTTGGGAGGCCATCACTTGAGATCAGGAGTTCGAGACCAGCTTAGCCAACATGGTGAAACCCCATCTCTACAAAAGTAGCTGGGTGTGGTGGCGTGCGCTTGTAGTCCCAGCTACTAGGGAGACTGAGGCAGGAGAATCACTTGAACCCGGGAGGCAGAGGTTGCAGCGAGCCATTGCGCCATGCACTCCAGGCTGGGTGACTGACTGAGATTCTGACTCAAAAAAAAAAAAAAATCCTATGACAAGGAGAAAGGTCAGATTCCCTGGCAATGGGAGCTGAGGCATGTTCTTGAGAAGGAGGGAGGTTATAAATTAGATGGGGCTGGGTCTCAGAGAGATATAGCTACTTACATATTAAATAATGAGGCTGAGTGTGGCGTCTCACACCTATAGTCCCAGTACTTTGGGAAGCAGAGGCAGGAGGATCCCTTGAGCCTAGGAGTTTGAAACCAGCCTGGGCAACATAGGGAGATTCCATCCCTACCAAAAAAAAAATTAAAAATTAGCCAGGCATAGTGGCCTGCATCTGTGGTCCTAGCTGCTTGGGAGGCTGAGGTGGGAGGATTGCTTGAACCTGGGAGGTCAAGGTACAGTGAGCCACGATTGCACCACTGCACTCCAGCCTGGGTGACAGAGCAAGACCTTGTCTCAAAAAAAGTAATTAATTTATTTATTCAATACGTAGCTCCTGAGACAAAATGTGTGCCGTACTCTAGACCCTGCTGGTGTGCACAATTCATGGGGGATATGTGCGCTAATGGAAGTGTGGCACAGGGCAAGGGTGTCCCCAGAGAAAGCCCTAATCCAGCTTTATGGGTGGTTGTATGAGGCACAGAAGCCTTTCCTGGTTAAGGGATAAATGGATGGGGTTTCAAAGGATGAATAGGAGTTTGCCAAGGACAATGAAGCAAAGATTGACATTCTAAGCATTGGGAGTGTCCTATGCAAAATCCCAAAGTGATGTAGTAGCAAATACTTAAGCACCTACAGTGTGCCAAGCATGTTTCATGTGCTGGAGATACAGAGGAGGAGGAGACAGATGAAACCCCAGCCCTTGTGATATTGTCATCCTAGTAGGTGTGGTGGGGAGATAAACAAGTAGACACCTGCATGAATAAGACTTTCAGATTGTGGTAAACCCTGTGGAGGAAACGAAACAGGTGAAGGAACGGCGTGACTAGGAGCAGGCAGGTGCGGCTGCTTCAGGTAGGGTGGTCAGGGAAGGAGGCGGCATCTGAGCTTTGACCTCAATTTCGAGAATGAGCCAGGAATGCAGAGAGGATTTCAGGCAGAGGAAACCTTAGGGAGGCTGGCGGGTTAAATCTGCAGGGGTGTGGCTGGCCGGAGGAAGTGAGGTGTGAGACAGTCACGTTGATGGTGACAGCAGCAGTGACCGTAGCAGCCTAGAGGTGGCCGAATGCTTACTCTAATGGGCTGGCCCATCCCTGAGTGTCTAGAGTTCCCAGCCCGCTTAAGGAAGGAAGGAAAACACAGGCAGCTCTAAGTGTACGACGAGGGAGGTCTCATCGGCGGTGAGGAAGCCCAGGCGGGTCCCCTTCCCAGCTGAAAGGGGTTCGGGTAGGTTTTTCCTGGGCGTTCCTCTGAGAACAGCCAGCCCTGGTGAGAGTGCGGGGAGAGGCGCTTATGACACAGGGAGGGTGGGTCTGGGAACCAGCCTGGCAGGAGGAGGAGGGAGACTGCCGGTGGCCGGGAGCTGTTTGTTCTCTGGGAGGGATCGTGGCGGGGTGGTTTGTGCAGCCCTTTCCTGAAACCGGAGGAGCCTGGCTCCTTCCCAGGTCTCTGGGGGATGGGTCGGGGCGGGGGGTGGTGACGGGGATAGGACCCCAGACAGACTTGAGTTTGGATCCTGGGTTGGAGCCGGTGACTTCACTCTCAGCTCCCTGAACATCAGGGCCTGCCTTTCTTCCCTCCCTTCCCCTCCCCTCCCCTCCCCTTCCTTCCTTCCTTCCTTCCTTCCTTCCTTCCTTCCTTCCTTCCTTCCCTTCCTTTCCCTTCCCTCCCTCCCTTTATTCTTTTCTTTTTTTCTTTTCTTTTCTTTCTTTCTTGACAGAGTCTTGCTCTGTCGCCCAGGCTGGAGTGCAGTGGCGCGATCTCGGCTCACTGCAAGCTCCGCCTCCCGGGTTCACGCCATTCTCCTGCCTCAGCCTCCCGAGTAGCTGGGACTACAGGCACCCGCCACCGTGCCTGGCTAATTTTTTTGTATTTTTAATAGAGACGGGGTTTCACTGTGTTAGCCAGGATGGTCTCGATCTCCTGACCTCGTGATCTGCATGCCTCGGCCTCCCAAAGTGCTGGGATTACAGGCCTGAGCCACAGTGCCCGGCCTCCTCTTTCTTTTTTTGAGACAGAATCTCACTCTGTCACCCAGGCTGGAGTGCAGAGGTGTGGTCTCGGCTCACTGCAACTTCCGCCTCCCAGGCTCAAGCGATTCTCCTGCCTCAGCCTTCCGAGTAGCTGGGACTACAGGCGCGTGCCACCATGCCCAGCTAATTTTTTGGTACTTGTAGTAGAGACAGGGTTTCACCATGTTGGCCAGGCTGGTTTCAAACCCCTAATCTCCAGTGATCTGCCTGCCTTGGCCTCTCAAAGTGCTGGGATTAAAGGCGTGAGCTACCGTGCCAGGCCGTGGAGTAGCTAAACTTATCTTACACTGCTGAGGTCTCTCAAGATGTGTGTAGGGAGAGAGAGTTGGGGGGAGAGAGAGAGACAAAGGAAAAGAGGAAGAGAGAGACAGGGAGAAAGAGAGGAAGAAAGAGAAAGAGAGAAACAGGAAGAGTGAGAGGAGAAAGAGAGGAAGGGGGAGAGAAAGAGAGATGGGGGAGAAAGAGAGAGAGAGAAGGAGACACAGGAGGGGGAGAGAAAGAGGGAGAGAGCAATGAGAGAGATATGAGACAGAGAAGAGAGAGAGAGGAGACACGGAGGAGGGGGACAGAAAGAGGGAGACAGAGAGATGAGAGAGAGAAAAGACACAGATGAGGGGGAGAGAAAGAGGGAGAGAGAGATGAGAGAGAGATTGATAGCACCCAGCTAATCAATCAGTGGCTTTAGTGCCATGAGCTGGAAGGGAGGAATGGATACTGGGGAACAGTTGGTTGACTTTCCCTGGTGGGACAGCCCCTCTTTCTAGAACTACCTTTCCTATGTCCCCTGTGCTTCTCTCCAGTCCATACTCTACATCTCAGCCAGAAAAGAAGAAATTCTAAAACATGTATCTGCCCGTGACATGACCCTCCTTGGCTCAACACTCTTCAGCGGTACCCAGCGCCCTCTGAGTCAACGCCAAGCTTCCTACCATGGCATTGGAGCCGCGCTCTGGGTCCTTTTACTGATGGCTCCCGCCTCAGCCCTTCCACCCCCTCCCATACCCTGCATGCCAGCCCAGGCAGCCCTCCCTCCTCCCACAATATCTCTCATATGCATTCCTGTCCCATGCCTTCTGCTTAAGCTGTTCCCACAGCCCGGAGTCTCCTCCCTGGCTGAGGGAAATCTTGCCGGCTCACATGGCCGTGATCCCCATCATTTCCTGCAGAAAGCTTGCCCAGCTCTCCGACACGGGGACCTTCTGCCCCTCCTGAGCCCTGAGTCCCCTCCATCTTAACTGGGAGGTCACCTGTTTGCGTGGTGTCTGCTCAGCTTGCAGGCAAGGCCACCAACACCCTCCTTTCCTGTCTTTCCTTCCTACCATCCTCTCCTGTCCACCCTCTGCCTCTCCCTCCCTTCTTCTCTTCTTTCCTTCTAGTTACTGAGCCATGCATGTGTTGCATGCAGCAAGGATGAATAAAATAAAATAAACCTACAGCAATCATTCCAGTTACTATGGCCATATAACAAATTATTCTAAAACTCAGTGGCTTCAGACAAGGATCATATCTATTTTACTCAAAAACCTACCATCTGCACAGGCCTTGGTGGAGGCAGCTTATCTGTGTGCCCTTTGGTGATGGCTGGGGCTGTCAAGAAGCTGGGGCAGTGCTTGGGCTGCAAAGACTCAAATGGCTGGAGTCTGGGACCACTGGAGCTCCTTGCCCCCCTTTGCTTATCTCTACACAGCCACAGGGTCGCTAAACTTACCTTACACTGCTGAGGCCTCTTAAGATGTGTGTAGGGAAAGAGAGTTGGGGGGAGAGGGAGAGAGAGAACAGAGAGAGAGAGACACACACAAGAAGAGAGAGAGGAAGAAAGAAGGAGAGAGAGGAAGAGGAAGGGAGAGGAAGAGAGAGAGAAAGAGAAAGAGGGAGAGAGAGAGGAGAGAAAGAGACAAGAAGAGAGGAAGAAAAAAGAGGAAGAGAGGGATAGAGGAAGACAGAAGGAGGGAGAGGGAGAGAGGAAGAGAGAGGAAAGAGAAAGGAAGGGAAAGAGAGATGTGAGAGAGAGGGAGAGAGAGAGAGAAAAGAGGACAGAGGAAGAGAGAGAGGAAGAGAGAGGGAGAGAGAGGGAGAGAAGACAGAGAGGGAGAGAGGAAGAGAAAAGGAGACAGAGAGAGGAGAGATAGAGAAGAACGAGAAAGGAGAGACAGAATGTGAATGAGAATTGGGTGCCATAAACCCTCTGATGGGGAAAGCAAAGGGCATTGTGGGAGAATCCTCTCAGCACCTGGGACAGCACCCAGTGCTGATCAGGAACATGTTAACAACCAGGAAAATGGTAAAGGCGTGGACAGCCCACCTGGAGTCCAAACAGATGTTCTAACTCCCTTGGGTGTGTCTGGGAATCAGGTAGGAGATCCTCAGAGGAGGAATATGCATGCATTGTTCTCTTTATAATAACCATATTAACAGCCAGCAATGTTCTGGCACTTACTATGGATTAAGTCCTTGTTATGAATGACTTCATGCCATCCTTCCAAATTCAATGACAGGTAGCTGGGCGCAGTGGCTCACGCTTTGTAATCCCAGCACTTTGGGAGGCTGAGGCAGGTGGATCACCTGAAGCCTGGAGTTCAAAACCAGCCTGGCCAACATGGTGAAACCCCGTCTCTACTAAAAATACAAAAATCAGCCAGGTGTGGCGGCGAGCGCCTGTAATCCCAGCTACTCATGAGGCTGAGGCAGGAGAATCGCTTGAACCCAGGAGGCAGAGGTTGCAGTGAGCTGAGATTGCATCACTGCGCTCCAGCCTGGGCATCGGAGAGAGACTCTCAAACAGGAGCTGGCGAACTGTGGCGCACTGCTTATTTTTATAAATAAAGTTTTATGGGAACACAGCTGTGCTCACTTGTTTTCACATCATCTGTGGCTGCTTCCCAGCTCCTCTGGCAGAGGAGGTGCAACAGCCACTGTGTGGATCACAAAGCTGAAATTATTTACTATCTGGCTGTTTGTAGAAAAAGTTTGCTGATCTCTGTCCTGGAAGTCAATGATATTAGGATTTCAGTTTACAGAAAAGGAGAAAAAGACAGGGAAAAACAGTGTTGTTTTTTTTTCAAGGTTGAGAAAATGAACATCTGAACCAATTGCCCATGTTATTAAATGTAAACATTTATTATTATTATTTTTGAGATGGGGTCTTGCTCTGTCACCCAGCCTGGGGTGCAGTGGCACAATCACAGCTCATCATAGCCTTGACCTCCTGGGCTCAAGCAGACCTCCCACCTCAGCCTCCCAAGTAGCTGAGGGTGCAGATGCGTGCCACCAAACCTGCTAATTTTTGTATTTTTTGTAGAGATAAGGTTTTGCCGTGTTGTCCAGGCCGCTCTCAAACTCCTGGGCTCATACTATTCTCCACTTTGGCCTCCCAAAGTGCTGGGATTACAGGCATGAGCCACCATGCCCAGTCTAAAATTTTTCTTTATTTTTAGTTTGGTAAACTATGCATAAAGTAAAATGTACCATCTTAACCATTTTAAGTGTACAATTCAGTGATGTTAAGTATATTCACATTGTTGTGCAACCATCACCACCGTCCACCTTCAGGTCTTTTTTTTATTTTGCAAAACAAACTCTGTATCTATTAAAAAACAGCTTCCCGGCCGGGTGCGGTGGCTCATGCCTGTAATCCCAGCACTTTGGGTGGCCGAGGCAGGTGGATCACCTGAGGTCAGGAGTTTGAGACCAACCTGGCCAACATGGTGAAACCCCGTCTCTACTAAAAATACAAAAATTAGCCGGGTGTGGTGACACGTGCCTGTAGCCCCAGCTACTCGGGAGGCTGAGGCAGGAGAATCGCTTGAACCTAGGAGGCAGAGGTTGCAGTGAGCTGAGATCGCCCACTGCTCTCCAGCCTGGGTGACACAGTGAGACTGTCTCTCAAAAAACAAAACAAAACAAACAAACAAACAAAAACAAATCCTGTGACTTCCCAATCTCATCTCCAGCCCCCTGCAGCCACCACTCTGTTTTCTGTCTCTATGAATTTGACTCCTCCAAGTGCCTCTTATACAGCATTTGGCATTGTGTAACTGGTTTAATACGTTTGAGATGGTGAGAGCTTAAGGTCTACAGGCCTAAGGTTTTTTTTTTTTTGACAGAATTTCACTCTGTCGCCAGGCTGGAATGCAGTAGGGCAATCTCGGCTCACTGCAACCTCCACCTCCCGAGTTCAAGTGATGCTCCTGCTTCGGCCTCCTGAGTAGCTGGGACTACAGGTGAGTGCCACCACATCCAGCTAATTTTTGTATTTTTAGTAGAGACAGGGTTTCACCATGTTGGCCAGGCTGGTATCAATCTCCTGACCTCGTGATCCATCTGTCTCGGCCTCCCAAAGTGCTGGGATTACAGGCGTGAGCCACCGTGCCCGGCCATTGACTAAGGTCTTAAAATAGCTCTTCCTGCCTGTATAATCTCCATTATGGCAGGGCTCATATAAGAAGATGACAGTTCATCTGATGAGGAAGAAAACTTACTCCTAGTTAGATTGGGTTGAATTCTTCCCTGTTTCCAGCGGTGTCTGCTCCTGGCACCTCAGGCACAGTCAGGGGTAGGAGGTGGTGATCAGATACACTCGCTGTGAGCAGTGCAAGGGGAAGCAGGTGCCCAGAGGTGCATCCCGGTTTGGTGGGGGTGACAAACATGGACAGGTAAGTGCAGGAGTGTGTGCAATACTCAATCTAAGAAAGGTAGTTCAGGCAGAGTTCAGGGAAGATATCTCTGTGCAGGGCCAGACATGGGGATGAGATTCTGATAATTTGGGAATGAATCAGGCCCCCAGCCCCTCCTCCCTCAGACTCAGCAGTCCAGGCACCCGGCCCTCCTCCCTCGGACCCAGAAGTCCATGCTCCCAGCCCCTCCTCCCTTGGACCCAGGAGTCCAGGCCCCCAGCCCCTCCTCCCTCAGACCCAGGAGTCCAGGCCCCCAGCCGCCTTCTCCTGCAGGACCCCAGGAGCTTGGGTACCCACAGGCTACTAGATCCTTGTTTCTGTGCATGGAAATTCTCAAATTATCTCCAAAAGTCTATGAAGAAGGTAAACACACATTTCCAGATGAGGGAATAGGCTGATATAGTTGAAAGACACACAGAGGGTCACAGTCTGGAATTGACAGTGGTGGGATTCGAACCTATTTCACTCCAGAACTGCGTAGCGCCTTATACGCTGCGGCAAGTGTGACGTCATTCGAACAAACCATAGGCCCCGCCCCCGGACTAGCCACGCCCACAGGCTCCTGAAACCACCAATCCCAGCTGTGACAGCGCTCAGGACCGATGCTCATAGGTCCCGTCCCTAGGATCCCCGCCCCCTCCGCCCGCGCCCCGCCCCTCGCAGCCCAGTTCCGGACGCGGGCCCAGCCGCGCCTGCGCCTCCGCTCGCCTGTGGCTGCGTCGCGCGCTCTTCCTCGGAGCTACCCAGGCGGCTGGTGTGCAGCAAGCTCCGCGCCGACCCCTGACGCCTGACGCCTGTCCCCGGCCCGGCATGAGCCGCTACCTGCTGCCGCTGTCGGCGCTGGGCACGGTAGCAGGCGCCGCCGTGCTGCTCAAGTGAGTACATTCTAGCCCCGCGTGCGCGGTCAAGGCGGGCCCCCAGCGCAGGGGCCGGGAAGGCGGCGGAGACCCCCGCCCCTCGCACCCGGGTCCAGGCCCCGTAGCTCCCGACCCGCAGTGCCCGCCCGGAGTGGGGCAAACCTGCGCTCTGGCCGGCCAGGTCACCGGCCCAAGGTCACTCGGAGGGAAGGGCGAGCCTGGGCCCTTGTAAATGTTGCTTTCCTTCCAGACTTTTAAACTCTTTATTTTGTTGTTTTGTATTATTTATTTGTTCGTTTATTTTTAAAGGCAGAATCTGGCTCTGTCGCCCAGGCTGGAGTGCAGTGGCGCGATCTTGGCTCACTGCAGCCTTGACCTCCTGGGCTCAGGTGATCCTCCCACCTTGGCGTCCCCAGGAGCTGAGATCACACGTGCGCCACCACGCCCGGCTAATTTTTGTATTTTTCGCAGAGACGGGGTTTTGCCATGTTGGCCAGGCTGGTCTCAAACACCTGCCCTCAGGTGATCCGCCTGCCTCGGCCTCCAAAGTGCTGGGATTACAGACGTGAGCCACCTCGCCCAGCCTACTTAATTTAAACTTTCTTAAAAATTAGCCTCTGTGGCTGGTGGCCACTGTATTGCATGGTGCCCTTCTCTCCTGTGGGTGCAGTGCTGTTTACCTGCTCAGCCTCCTGTTGCTGGACACTATCTTGTTGCCAGCGTTAGCCTCTGTGGGACATGGGTGTGGTGGGCAGAGTCGTGACTCCGTAGAGGGGTCCACGTCCTAATCCTCGGAAGGTGTGACGACATTACCTCACGTGTCAGAGGTTCTCGCTGATGTGTTAAGTGAAGCATCTTTTTTTTTTTTGAGACAGAGTTTCGCTGTTGTTGCCCAGGCTGGAGTGCAATGGCACGACCTCGGCTCACCACAACCTCCACCTCCCGGGTTCAAGCGATTGTCCGGCCTCAGCCTCCTGAGTAGCTGGGATTACAGGCATGTGCCACCACGCCTGTCTAATTTTGTATTTTTAGTAGAGACGAGGTTTCTCCATGTTGGTCAGGCTGGTCTTGAGCTCCCGACCAAAGGGGATCTGGCCACCTTGGCCTCCCAAAGTGCTGGGGTTACAGGCGTGAGCCACCGTGCCCGGCCAAGTGAAGGATCTTATGATTATCATGTAGTCTTTTTTTTTTTTTGGAGACAGGGTCTCTCTGTCACCCAGGCTGGAGTGCAGTCATGCTGTCACAGCTCACTGCAGCCTCACCCTCCCTGGGCTCAGGTGGTCCTCCCACTTCAGCCTCCCGAGTAGCTGACTCTACAGGCGTGCACCACCAAGCCCTGCTAATTTTTGTATTTTTAGTAGAGATGGGGTGTCAGCATGTTGGCCATGGCTGGTCTCGAACTCCTGACCTCAAGTGATCCTCCTGTCTTGGCCTCCCAAAGTGCTGGGATTACAGGTGTGAGGCACTGTGCCGGTCCTGCCTTGTAGTCTTATAGGGTCCTTATAAGAGGGAGCAGGAGGCTCAGTCAGAGGGGAGATGGAAGATAGAAGGAGAGGTTGTTGGGTGTGGTGGCTCACGCCTGTAATCGCAGCACTTTGGGAGGCCAAGGCAGGCGGATCACAAGGTCAGGAGTTCGAGACCAGCCTGACCAACGTGGTAAAACTCTGTCTCTACTAAAAATACAAAAGAAATTAGCCAGGTGTGGTGGCATGTGCCTGTAATCCCAGCCACTCAGGAGGCTAAGGCAGGAGAATCGCTTGAACCTGTGAGGCGAAGGTTACAGTGAGCTGAGATTGAGCCACTGCACTCCAGCCTGGGCGACAGAGCGAGACTCTGTCTCAAAAATAAATAAGTAAATAAATAAATAAATAAAGGAGAGGTTCCAGTGAGGATGCAGGTTGAAGATGGAGGCGGGGCCAAGAGTGGAGGAATGTGGCGGTCTGTAGGAGCTGGAAGTGGATTCTTCCCTAGAGCCTCCAGAAGGAACCTGACTCTACCAATACCTTGATTTATTCCAGTGAGACATGTTTTGGACTCTTGACCTGCCGAACTGGAGGAGGATGCACTTATGTGGTTTTAAGCCACTAAGTCTGTGGTAATGCGTACAGCAGCCTTGGGAATCTCGTGCAGCGGGCATTTTAAATTTAAATTTAAATTTTTTTGAGACAGAGTCTCGCTCTGTTGCCCAGGCTGGCACCATTTCGACTCACTGCAACCTCCGCCTTCCAGGTTCAAGCAATTCTCGTGCCTCAGCCCCCTGAGTAGCTGAGATTACAGGTGTGCACCACCACGCCTGTGAAGGGGTGGCCTGCCCCTCCACACCTGTGGGTATTTCTAGTTGGGTGGGACGAGAGACTGAGAAAAGAAATAAGACACAAAGTATAGAGAAACAACAGTGGGCCCAGGGGACCGGCGCTCAGCATACCAAGGACCTGCACCGGCACCGGCCTCTGAGTTCCCTCAGTTTTTACTGATTATTATCTTCATTATTTCAGCAAAAAGGAATGTAGTAGGAGAGCAGGGTGATAATGAGGTCAGCAAAAACCATGTGAGCAAAAGAATCTATGACATAATTAAGTTCAAGGGAAGGTACTATGCCTGGACGTGCACGTAGGCCAGATTGATGTTTCTCTCCACCCAAACATCTCAGCGGAGTAAAGAATAACAAGGCAGCATTGCTGTAAACATGTCTCGCCTCCCGCCATAGGGCGGCTTTTCTCCTGTCTCAGAATTGAACAAATGTACAATCAGGTTTTATACCGAGACATTCAGTTCCCAGGGTCAGGCAGGAGACAGTGGCCTTCCTCTCTCTCAACTGCAAGAGGCTTTCCTCTTTTACCAATCCACCTCAGCACAGACCCTTTACGGGTGTTGGGCTGGGGGACGGTCAGGTCTTTCTCATCCCACGAGGCCATATTTCAGACTATCCCACGGGGAGAAACCTTGGACAATACTCTGTGTTCAAGGGCAGAGGTCCCTGCAGCTTTCTGCAGTGCATCGTGCCCCTGGTTTATTGAGACTAGAGACTGGCGATGACTTTTACCAAGTATACTGCTTGGAAACATTGTGTTAACAAGGCACTTCCTGCACAGCCCTAGATCCCTTAAACCTTGATTTCATACAACACAGGTTTTTGTGAGCTCCAGATTGGGTCAAAGTGGCTGGGTCAAAGCTACAAATTAACAACATCTCAGCAAAGCAATTGTTCAAAGTACAGGTCTTTTTCAAAATGGAGTCTCTTATGTCTTTCCTTTCTATATAGACACAGTAACAGTCTAATCTCTCTTTTCCCTACACATCTGGCTAATTTTTGTATTTTAAGTAGAGACGGGGTCTCGCCATGTTTGCCAGGCTGGACTCGAACTCCTGACCTCAAGTGATCCGCCCCCGCCCCCCCCCACCCCCAAAACTTTGGCCTCCCAAAGTGCTGGGATTACAGGTGCAAGCCCCCTCACCTGGCCGGGAATCTCATGCAGTGAGCATTTATAAAATAATGACTGTCACTTGCTGAAGGCGTTCCACACGCCAGACACTGGGTGGAGCCACTTATGGAGAACATGACAGAGGTCCCTTGGTGTGATGTGATGATGTCTGTGTTTCAGTTGGGGTATGTGAGTGAGCTCAGACAAGGTTGCCTGAGATCATTCAGTCAGGGGCACGTGGGGTGAGAGTGGGCCCACAGGACTGACCGTGCCGCTTCTCACCCTCAGGGACTATGTCACCGGTGGGGCTTGCCCCAGCAAGGCCACCATCCCTGGGAAGACGGTCATCGTGACGGGTGCCAACACAGGCATCGGGAAGCAGACCGCCTTGGAACTGGCCAGGAGAGGTAAAATCTCCCCTGCTTTGGCTCTCAGAGAGATATCTGTACATCCATGCTCACTGCAGCATTATTCACAGTCCGGAGGTGGAAGGAACCCAGGCACCCATCCACAGATGAACAGGGAAACAGAATGTGGCTTCTATAGACAGGGGCATATGATTCAGCCTTAAAAAGGAAGGGCATTCTGGCCGGGCGCGGTGGTGCACGCCTGTAATCAGTACTTTGGGAGGCCAAAGCTGGCGGATCACGAGGTCAGGAGTTCGAGACCAGCCTAACCAACATGGTGAAACCCCCTCTCTACTAAAAATACAAAAATTAGCCAGGAGTTGTGGTGGGCACCTGTAGTCCCAGCTGCTTGGGAGGCTGAAGCAGGAGAATCGCTTGAACCTGAGAGGCAGGGGTTGCAGTGAGCAGAGATGGCGCCACGGCACTCCAGCCTGGGTGACAGAGTGAGACTCAAAAACAAAACAAAACAAAGCAAAACAAAAAAAAGGGCATTGAAACAGATGAACCTTGAGGACATTCCATGAAGTGAAATAAGCCAGTCGACAGAAGAGCAAATACGGTATGATTCCACTTACAGGAGCTACCTACAGTTAAATTCATAGAGAAGTTGGAATGGTGCTTGCCAGGGGTCAGGAGGGGAGGGGAGAATGGGGAGTTACTGTTTAATGGAAACGGAAGTTTAGTTTGGCAAGATGAAACAATTTGAGAGATGGATGGTTGTAATGGTTGCACAACATTAGGAATTATTATTATTGTTTTTTTTTTTTTGAGATGGAGTTTTGCTCTTGTCGCCCAGGCTGGAGTGCAGTGGCATGATCTTGGCTCACTGCAACCTTCGCCTCCCGGGTTCAAGCAATTCTCCTGCCTCAGCCACCCGAGTAGCTGGGATTACAGGCATGCAACACCACACCCAGCTAAGTTTGTAATGTGTTGGCCAGGCTGGTCTTGAACTCCTGACCTCAGGTGATCCACCTGCCTTGGTCTCCCAAAGTGCTGGGATTACAGGTGTGAGCCACCATGCCCGGCCCAGCCATAAATGTTTTTAATACCAATGAACTGGACACTTAAAAATGGCTAAGAGGGCGGGTCTCGGTGGCTCACATCTATAATTCCAGCACTTTTGGAGGCTGAGGCAGGAGGATCACTTGAGGCCAGGGGTTCCAGACCAGCCTGGACACCATAGCAACACCCCCATCTCTACCAGAGTTAGCCAGGCATGCTGGCACAGGTGGTACCTATAGTCCCAGGTCACTTGAGCCTAGGAGTTCAAGGCTGAATGAGCTGTGATGGCGCCAGCACTCCAGCCGCGGCAGCAGAGTGAGACTGACTCAAAAAAAAAAAAATAATAATAAACAAAAAGAAAAGGGGGTTAAGATGATAAATTTTAAGTGATTTGTATTTTACCACAACAAAAAAAATTGGAGGCTGGGCATTGTGGCTTATTTGTAATCCCAGTACTTTGGGAGGCCGCGGGGTGGATCACCTGAGGTCAGAAGTTCAAGACTAGCTTGGCTAACATGGTGAAACCGCTGTCTCTACTAAAAATAAAAAAATAAAAAATTAGCTAGTTGTGGTAGGTGCCTGTAATCCCAGCTACTCGGGAGGCTGAGGCAGGAGAATTGCTTGAACCCAGGAGGTGGAGGTTGCAGTGAGCCGAGATTGCGCCACCGCACTCCAGCCTGGGTGACAGAGTGAGACTCCATCTAAAAAAAAAAAAAAAAGGAGAGGATGGGGAATCCTCTTGCCTTGGCCTCCCAAAGTGCTGGAATTACAGGTGTGAGCCACCGTGCCCGACCAATTCAGTGATGTTTAGTATAGTCACAGAATGATGCAACCATCTTTAAAATCAATCTTAGAACATCTGTTACCCTAGAAAGAAACCTGCTCACTGTAACTATCAAGCTGTAATTCCCTCTCCCCACCCCCTGCCCTAGAAAACCAAGAATCTATTTTCTTTCTCTATGGATTTGCCTATTCTGGGCGTTTCATAGGTGTGAAATCATATACATAGAATTCATGTAAATGGGATTGTACGCTGTGTGGTCTTTCGTGTCTGGTTTCTTTCCCCGAGCACAGTGTTTCTGACGGTCATCCTTGCTGTAGCATGAGCCAGTGCTTCACTCCTTTTCACGGCCGTCTAATATTCCATCTCTATGGATGGACCACATTTTGTTGTCCCTTCATCCACAGATGGGCATTTGGTTGTTTCTACCTTTTGGCTTTTGTGAAGAATGCCGCAGTGAACATTGGTGGATGTGTTTTTGTGTAGACGTATGTTTTCATGTCTCTGGGGTCAGTACCCAGGAGTGGATTATTAATTTAAATCTTTTTCCATCCTGGGTTTTCAGGAGGCAACATCATCCTGGCCTGCCGAGACATGGAGAAGTGTGAGGCGGCAGCAAAGGACATCCGCGGGGAGACCCTCAATCACCATGTCAACGCCCGGCACCTGGACTTGGCTTCCCTCAAGTCTATCCGAGAGTTTGCAGCAAAGATCATTGAAGGTAGGAGAACGCTGGCCATGTGGGATGAGGACTGGGATAGGCGGCTCCCAGGGCCAGGCTCTGAGAAGTGAATGAAGCAAGCAAACTTTAGAGCAGAGTTTTGGCAAACTATGAGTTAGGGGCCAAGTCCAGTTGCTGCCTTTTTTTGTACAGCCTGCAAGCAACGACTTTATTTATTTATTACTACTGTTATTTTGAGAGGGAGTCTCACTCTGTCGGCCAGGCTGAGTGCAATGGCGCGATCTCGGCTCACTGTAACCTCTGCCTCCTGGGTTCAAGCGCGGACCTCAGCCTCCTGAGTAGCTGGGATTAAGATGCCTGCTACCATACCCTGCTAATTTTTGTATTTTTAGTAGAGACGGGGTTTCACCACGTTGGCCAGGCTGGTCTGGAACTCCTGACCTCAGGTGATTCTCCTGCCTCAGCCTCCCAGAGTGCTGGGATTACAGGCGTGGGCCACTGCGCCCGGCTGACTTTGTTTTGTTTGTTTGTTTTGAGACAGATGGGGTCTCGCTCTGTTGCCCAGGCTGGAGTGCAGTGGTGTGATCTTGCCTCACTGCAACCTCCGTCTCCCGATTTCAAATGATTCTCCTGCTTCAGCCTCCTGAGTAGCTGGGATTACAGGCACCCGCCACCGTGCCTGGCTAATTTTTTGTGTTTTAGGTAGAGACAGGGTTTCACCATGTTGGTCAGGCTGGTCTCGAACTCCTGACCTCAGGTGATCTGCTTCCCTTGGCCTCCCAAAGTGCTGGGATTACAGGTGTGAGCCACCGTGCCCTACCTGAATAATTAGTTTGTTTGAGACAGGATCCATCTCTGTCACCCAGGCTAGAGTGCAGTGGTGCAGTCATGGCTCACTGCAGTCTCAACCTGCTGGGCTCAAGGGATCCTCCCACTTCAGCCTCCCAAGTAGCTGGGAGTACAGGCATACGCCACCACACACAGCTAATTATTGTTTTATTGTTTTGTTTTGTTTTTAGAGCTGGGGTTTCACCATGTTGCTCAGGCTGGTCTCCAACTCCTGGGCTCAAGTGATCCACCCAGGTCAGCTTCCCACAGTGCTGGGATTACAGGCGTGAGCCACCGCACCTGACCTTATTAAGCATTTATTGATCAAGTGCCTTCCCCACCATGGTTAAAGAAATATGTGTTTGTTATGGGACATTTATAAAATACTGCAATGTAAAGAAGACAGAACTGGCTGGGCACAGTGGCTCACGCCTGTTAATCCCAGCACTTTGGGAGGCTGAGGCAGGTGGATCCCTTGAGGTCAGGAGTTCGAGACCAGCCTGGCCAACATGGTGAAACCCTGTCTCTACTAAAAATACAAAAATTAGCCAGGCGTGGTGGTGCACACCTGTAATCTCAGCTACTCAGGGTGCTGAGGCAGGAGAATTGCTTGAACCCAGGAGGCGGAGGTTGCAGTGAGCTGAGATTGTGCCAGTGCACTCCAGCCTGGGTGACAGAGTGAGACTCTGTCTCAATAAAAAAGAAGACAGAACTAAACAACTTTGATCTGCACCAGCCCCAGGAGAATCACTTTTATGGATCTTTCTAGTCTTGTTTATAATAGGTTTGTGTGTGTATTTATATATTTTTATGTAAAACTGGGACCATCCTCTAGCTTTTCTATTCTTGTTCATCTTTAAATAGACTCAAGAATACACTAAAATTATTTATTGTTTAGTTGACATGTATACTTGTATATATTATGTACAGCATGATGTACATTGTATACATTGTAGAATGGCTAAATCAAGCTAATTAACATATGCATTACCTCAAATACTTACCTGTTTTTGTGGTGACCACATTTAAAATCTCTTCTCTTAGGATTGCTTGAGCTCAGGAGTTAGAGACCAGCCTAGGAAGCATAGTGAGACCTTGTGTGTACCAAAGATTAAAAAAAAAAAAAAATTAGCCGGGCATCCTGGCATGTGCCTACAGTCCCAGCTACTCAGGAGGCTGAGGCAAGAGGATCACTTGAGCCCGAGAGTTCAAGGCTGCAGTGAGCCGTATTTGTGCCACTGCACTCTAACCTGGATGACAGAGCAAGACCTTTTTTTTGAGATGGAGTCTTGCTCTGTCACCCAGGCTGGAGTGCAATGATGCGATCTTGGCTCACTGCAGCCTCCGCCTCCTGGGTTCAAGCGATTCTCCTGCCTCAGCCTCCCAAGACTATAGGCGGGTGCCACCATGCCCGGCTAATTTTTGTATTTTTAGTAGAGACGGGGTTTCACTATGTTGGCCAGGCTGGTCTCGAATTCCTGACCTTGTGATCCGCCTGCCTCAGCCTCCCAAAGTGCTGGGATTACAGGCATGAGCCACCATGCCCAGCTGCTTTGTTTCTTTTCTAGTCTGGCACTGAAAGGGCCAAAGCTTTCTTCTTCAGAGTCAATGTGCCCCGCTCAGTAAACGGGTACTCAGGAAATGAACAAGGAATGGGGGAGTTGTGGGACCTCATTTATTTAGCAGACGTGATCTCAGACCTGACCAGGTGCTGGAGGTGTGAGATGAACCAGAGCTGTCCTTGTGCCACTCACAGCCCTAGGGAGGCAGGTGCAGGTGCACATTCGTTGGTTCATTCATTCATTCATACTGAGCCCCTGCTGTGCCCTTGGGGATCAAGAAAGAGCCGGCACTGTTGTCGGGTAGGTGAGAGGCACTACGGTGAGATCACAAAGAACAGTGAGAGGGCAATGCCTCAGAGTCTCAGAGGTGGATGAACATTTATTAAGCACCTGCTGTGTACCAGGTACAGCACTGTCACCTTCATGCACACTGTCCCAGGCAATCCCACCCAGGGCGCCTCTGATCCTGTCTCTGGCTTGTGGACACAGGTGTCCGGAGCACTGAGGTCCCTGAGACAGTGAGGACCCCGGCTGGACACACCTGGGCAGGTGATGCCTCCTCTCTTAGCCACACGTTCCTCTTCCGGGAAATGGAATAATTCCTTCTATTTTCTGGGATTCTCTAGAGGGGTTTTTTTTTTTTTCTGAGACGGTATCTTGCTTTGTCGCCCAGGCTGGAGGACAGTGGCACATCTCGGCTCACTCCAAGCTCCGCCTCCCGGGTTCATGCCATTCTCCTGCCTCAGCCTCCCGAGTGGCGGGGGACTACAGGCGCCTGCCACCACGCCCGGCTAATTTTTTATATTTTTTACTAGAGACGGGGTTTCACCGTGTTAGCCAGGATGGTCTCGATCTCCTGACCTCATGATCCAGCCACCTCGGCCTCCCAAAGTGCTGGGATTACAGGCATGAGCCACCACGCCCAGCCTCTCTAGAGGATTAAGTAAAGCTGTGTCTGTGACTTTTTTAGCAAATCAAGTACCAGCTTCTTGGTGTTTTCCTAAGATCAACAGCCAGGAATAAAGACAGCAGTGGATTTAAAAATAGTGAAGATCGTCCATTTTATGTGGTGTGTATTCTACCACACTGGGGCAGGCCAGGTGCAGCGGTTCACGCCTGTCATCCCGGCACTTTGGGAGACAGAAGTTTTGGGAAGATCAGTTTGTGAGATGACACTCTGACAAAGCTGGAAGCTGTGGCTCTTCCCAGCTCCCGACTAGAAAGAACACAAAGCAAAGAGCCCCAGGAAGCAGGTACCCACAGCCTTGTTTATCAGGGAGTTTGAGATCAGCCTGGGCAACATAGCAAGACCTCATCTCTACAAAAAATACAAAACAATCAGGCAGGCGTGCAGGCTCACGCCTGTAATCCCAGCACTTTGGGAGGCTGAGGCGGGCGGATCACAAGGTCAGGAGATCGAGACCATCCTGGCCAACACGGTGAAACCCCGTGTCTACTAAGAAACACAAAAAAATTAGCCGGGCGTGGTGGCGGGCACCTGTAACCCAGCTACTTGGGAGGCTGAGGCAGGAGAATGGCGTGAACCCGGGAGGTGGAGCTTGCAGTGAGCCGAGATGGCGCCACTGCACTCCAGCCTGGGTGACAGAGTGAGACTCCATCTCAAAAAAAAAATAAAAAACAATGAGGCAGGCGTGATGGTGTGCACTTGTAGTCCCAACTACTTGGGAGGTGGAGGTGGGAGGATTGCTTGAGCCTGGGAGGTTGAGGCTGCAGTGAGGGATTTTTTTTTTTTTTTTTTAAGACGGAGTTTTGCTCTTGTTGCCCAGGCTGGTGCAATGACGGGATCTTGGCTCACGGCATCCTCCACCTCCTGGGTTCAAGTGATTCTCCTGCCTCAGCCTCCCGAGTAGCTGGGATTACAGGCATGCGCCACCACGCCCGGCTAATTTTGTATTTTTAGTAGAGACGGGGTTTCTTCCTGTTGGTCAGGCTGCAACCTCCATCTCCTGGTTTCAAATAATTCTCCTGCCTCAGCCTCCTGAGTAGCTGGGATTACAGGCACCTGCCACCATGCCCGGCTACTTTTTTGTTTTAGGTAGAGACAGGGTTTCACCATGTTGGTCAGGCTGGTTGACCTCAGGTGATCTGCCCGCCTCGGCCTCCCAAAGTGCTGGGATTACAGATGTGAGCCACCACGCCCGGCCTGCAGTGAGCTTTGATTGTACCACTGCACTCGGGGTGAGACCCTGTGTCCAAAAAAAAAAAAAAAAAAAAAAAGTTGAGGCAGTTCCCAGATAAACAAAACAACAGGCCAGGCACTGTGGCCCACGCCTGCAATCCCAGCACTTTGGGAGGCCGAGGTGGGCGAATTGCCTAAGCTCAGAAATTCGAGACCAGCCTAAGCAACATAGCCAAACCCCATTTCTACAAAAAATTTTAAAAGTAGCTGCTTGTGGTGTCGGGCGCCTGTGGTTCAGCTATGTGGAAGGCTGAGGTGGGAGGATCGTTTGAGCCCTGGCGGCGGAGGTTGCTGTGAGCTGAGATCGCGCCACTGCACTCCAGCCTGGGCCACTGAGTGAGCTTCCCTCTCATAAAAAGAAAAAAAAAAAAACAGGCTGGGCGCGGTGGCTCACACCTGTAATCCCTGCACTTTGGGAGGCAGAGGCGGGTGGATCACGAGGTGAAGAATTCAAGACCAGCCTGACCAAGATGGTGAAACCCCGTCTCTACTAAAAATGCAAAAATTAGCAGGGTGCGGTGGCGGGCACCTGTAATCCCAGTACTCGGGAGGCTGAGGCAGCAGAATCGCCTGAACCCAGGCGGTAGAGGTTGCAGTGGGCCATGGGCCAAGATCACACCACTGCACTCCAGCCTGGGTGGCAGAGTGAGACTTCATCTCAAAAAAAAAAAGAAAAAAAACCAAAACAAAACACCAGAAGCTGGCGGCACTCCTGGGCGCCCAGCTGTGAGTGGAGTCTCCCTGTCCCGCCTTTGGGCCTTACCCGTGCTGCGCCTGCTGCCTGCATCCCCCTTCCCTGGGTCTCCGCACGTGGGCCCTGCCTCATTTTCCCGGTCCCAGTTTCTGCGTCACCTCCTGAGAGGGGCCTCCTGTCAGCTTCCACGCAGCTCTGTCACGGGTAGATTCTCTCACGAGTGGAAGTGGCTCTCAGCTGCACTGGAATGTCCGGTCCACACGGACGGGGCCTCGGCTGTGCTGTCCACCCTGTATTTCCAGTGCCCAGTAATAGGTGCTTAGAAAATACTTACTGAATGAGTAAGTATACAGTTGTACCAGGCAGGTGATGTTATTATCCTTTTTTTTTTTTTTTTTTTACAAGGAGTAAACTGAGTCACAGAGAAGTGATGTGACTTGGCCAGGATCATGCAGCTGGTCGGGGTGGAGCCAGGCTTTGAACCTGTCTGTCCTGCTCCAGAGCTGGTATTCATGACGGGTGTGCTGCAACCCCCTCCTTCTCACACAGAGAACCAGATGGTGTCTGTGTGTTACGCGCTGGACACCTAATTCACGATCCCCGCCGAAAACCACTTCGGGAGCATTATGAATTCCATTGTGTCCTCCACCCCCAAGGATAGGTTGGGATCCTGAACCCCCATCCCTCAGCATGTGACTTCATTTAGAGGTGGGTGTTTACAGAGGTCCTGAAGTGAAAATGAGGTCATTAGGGTGGGCCCTAATCCAGTGACTGGTGTCCTTATGAAAAGGGGAGATTTGCGCACAGAAACAGACGTGCTAGCTGGGCATGGTGGCGCATGCCTGTGGCCCCAGCTACTTGGGAGGCTGAGCAAGAAGACTGCTTGAGCCTGGGAGGTTGAGGCTGCAGTGAGCAGTGATTGCGCCACTGTACTCCAGCCCAGGTGTCAGAGGGAGACCCTGTCTCAAAGAAATATAAAAAATAGGCCAAGTAGACTGAGTGTGGTGGCTCACGCCTGCAGTCCCAGCACTTTGGGAGGCTGAGGTAGGTGGATCACGAGGTCAGGAGTGTGAGACTAGCCTGGCCAACATGGTGAAGCCCCGTCTCTACTAAAGATACAAAAAATTAACCCGGTGTGGTGGTGGATGCCTGTAGTCCAGCTACTTGGGAGGCTGAGGCAGGAGAATTGTTTGAACCTGGGAGGCAGAGGTTGCAGTGAGCCAAGATCGCACCATTGCACTCCAGCCTGGGTGACAAGAGTGAAACTCCATCTCCCCCCCCCAAAAAAAAAAAAATAGGCTGGGGGCAGTGAAATTGCAGCACTCTGGGAGGCCAAAGCAGGAGGATTGCTTGAGTTCAAGAGTTTGAGACCAGCCTGGGCAACATAGTGAGACCATGTCTGAAAAATCTAAAATTAAAAAAGGAAAAATGAAAAAAAAAAAAGAGACAGCTCCAAAGGGAAGAGGAAGGGAAGAGGGAGAGAGGAGATGGTCACCTGTGAGCCAAGGAGAGAGACCAGAGCGGATCCTCCCTGAGGGCCCTGAGAGGGAACCAGCCCTGCCCACACCTTGATCTGGGACTTCCAGCCTCTGGGACTGTGATTTTTTTTTTTTTTTTTGAGATGGAGTTTTGCTTTTATTGCCCAGGATGGAGTGTAATGATGCGATCTCGGCTCACTGCACCCTCTGCCTCCTGGTTTCAAGCGATTTTCCCGCCTCAGCCTCCTGAGTAGCTGGGATTACAGGTGCATGCCACCACGCCTGGCTAATTTTGTATTTTTAGTAAAGACGCGGTTTCTCCATGTTGGCCAGGCTGGTCTCAAACTCCTGACCTCAGGTGATCTGCCCACCTCGGCCTCCCAAAGTGCTGGGATTACAGGCGTGAGCCACTGTGCCCGGCCAGGTCTGTGAGGTTTTAAACCACCTGTCTGTGGCACTTTGTTACGGAACCCGAGCTGAGTGGTACAGGGAGGAAGGCCCTGTGGTTCAGCGCATTTTACAGCTGAGGAAACTGAGGCTGCAGTCTCCATCTGTGTGTCCTTTGGTTGCTTGTATGAGTGAGGTGGCAGGTTTGGGAATGAAACCACGCCTGCGGTGCCGGGGCTCCCACCGGTAACCTCCCGTTTTTGGCCTCGGGGCTCCGGCAGGAAGGAGTCCCAAGGCTTAGATGGAGGTGCGGAGGGCGTGTGAGTGTCCTGGAGCTGCTGTAACAATGTACTGCAAACCCAGTGGCTTACACCCTCAGACGTGCATTCCCTCACGGTTCCGGAAGCCGGCAGTCTGAATCGCGGTGTCCCTGTGGCTGTGACCTGTGAGACGGGCCATAATCCTCCCAGCCTCTTCCACTTCCAGCGGGGGCGGCCCACCCTCACCTTGGAGCTGTGCCTCTCCGGTCTTTGCCTCTGTCCACACATGGCCTTCTCCCCATGTGTCTCTGTCTCTGTTTTCCCTTCCTATAAGGACACCAGTCATTGGATTAGGGCTCACCCTAATGACCGCATCCTGACATGGCCACTTCGGCACAGACCCTGTTTCCGGCACAGGCCACATTCACAGGTTGTGGGAGCACAGGAGTGTTTCTGCTGGTGCATCAGGCTGGGGTCTGTCCTCACCGGGATGTCTCCTCCTCCACCCCTCTCTTCCAGAGGAGGAGCGAGTGGACATTCTAATCAACAACGCGGGTGTGATGCGGTGCCCCCACTGGACCACCGAGGACGGCTTCGAGATGCAGTTTGGCGTTAACCACCTGGGTGAGGCCTGGGCAGGGGCTGCACCATGGGTTCAAGCGATCCTCCCCCGTCGTCCTCCCAAAGTGCTGGGATTTTAGGTGTGAGTCAAAAGTGACCTTTTCATCATCCTTAATCCAGGTCACTTTCTCTTGACAAACTTGCTGCTGGACAAGCTGAAAGCCTCAGCCCCTTCGCGGATCATCAACCTCTCGTCCCTGGCCCATGTTGCTGGGCACATAGACTTTGACGACTTGAACTGGCAGACGAGGAAGTATAACACCAAAGCCGCCTACTGCCAGAGCAAGCTCGCCATCGTCCTCTTCACCAAGGAGCTGAGCCGGCGGCTGCAAGGTACGGGGGCGCTAGGCTCGGCCTCCCTCTTGCTTTACTCTGAGCCTAGAGCGGCCTTTCCATGATCCTAGGCTGATGGGAGGCCAAACGGTGGATCCAGAACAGAGTCAGCAAAAGTAGAGCATGTGGACCACGCTGCCCGCTTCTGGTGCCTGAAGCAGACATCACTAATCGATCGTTCTTCTGAGGATTGTCTGTTCATCCCAGGTGGTCTAGTCTGCCTGGATCAGATGTCCTTCCCTGCTGCTGTTGGGCAGGCAGCTCAGCCTTTTGGCTCCAGCCAGTGAGTCTCAACCAGGGGCAGTTTTGACCCGCAGTTGTCAATGCCTGGAAACACAGTGATCACAGCTGGCTTGGGGAGAGATTGCTCTGGGCATCTGGAGGGTAAAGGCCCAGATGCTCTCAATGTCCTACAGCGCACGGGATGGCCCCTCACTCCTCCCAACCCACAGCATCCACAGTGCTGAGATTGAGAAATCTGTGCTAGGCCTTTGCTTCTGAAAGACGGTCTGTGGACCAGCGGTGCCAGCCCCACTGGGAGCTGGTCAGAGTTACAGTATCTTAGGTCCCACCGCCACGCACCGATGCAGGCTCCCGGGGTAAGCTCAGCGTTCTGGGTTTATGAAGCCCTCCAGGAAAGCTCGGCTCCCAGCAGCCATGTGGCAGAGCCGCTCCGCAAGATAAGACCACTTCACTAAGATTCCAGAGCAAGAGGGACGATGGGGTTTGAGTGCAGGAAGCAGCCTGGTGCCCGGAAGCCCCACAGCTGGGTGTGGGCTGCCACAGCCTCCCAGGTGAGGCTGGACCCCTCCCTCAGTCTTCTCTTTCTTTCTTCCCCAGGCTCTGGTGTGACTGTCAACGCCCTGCACCCCGGCGTGGCCAGGACAGAGCTGGGCAGACACACGGGCATCCATGGCTCCACCTTCTCCAGCACCACACTCGGTGAGTCCCCTCCCAGCCTGGGGTCTCCACGTGGAGCCCTCCACCCCTGCTTTCTCAGCCCAGGGCCCAGGACCCTCCCTCAGAGACCGTCCCTGAGGCCTCATGCCTGCTCCTCGCCTACGTCTTCTGAGGCACAGAGCACAGGTCCCTTTCCTCCGTTGACCTGGCCTGCCAGCCTCTAACAGCCCCGGGAAGCAGGCAGAGCCCTGCTGGCGGATGAGAAAACCGTGTCTCAGAGGAAGAGGCCGTGGAGCTGACGCCTGGAGTCAGGCTGTACTCAGGGTAACTCCAGCTTCACCCCAAACCAGCTGCACCTCCTGGGGAAGAGCTGTTACCCCTCTGAGCCTGTTTCTTCATCTGCAGAGTGCAGGCCTTAATAGGACTCACCTCACAGTCACTGGGGGGGTTATACGAGACCTTCCTTGAAAGGGCCAGCACAGGACCCCGCCCAGAGAATAGGTGGAACAAACAGTTGGAGCTTTACTTACTTATTTTTGAGATGAAGTCTTGCTCTGTCGCCCAGGCTGGAGTACAATGGCATGATCTCCACTCACTGCAACTTCCACCTCCCAGGTTCAAGCGATTCTCCTGTCTCCAAGTAGCTGGGATTACAGGTGCACACCACCACACCCAGCTAGAGGTGGGGTTTCACCATATTGGTCAGGCTAGTCTCAAACTCCTGACCTCAGGTGATCCAACTGCCTCCCAAAGTGCTGGGATTACAGGTGTGAGCCACCACCCCCAGGCAGTTCATGCTTTATGACTAGTGTTTATAATCCTGAAAAACATGGAGTGGGTGATTGGTTGGCATCAAGAATCTTAACTTGGCGAGGCTAATAGCCACGCCTGTAATCCCAGCACTTTGGGAGGCTGTGGTGGGCGGATTACCTCAGGTCAGGAGTTCGAGACCAGCCTGGCCACCATGGTGAAACCCCGTCTCTACTAAAAATACAAAAATTAGCCAGGTGTGGTGGTGTGCACCTGTAGTCCCAGCTACTCAGGAGGCTGAGGCAGGAGAATCGCTTGAACCCGGGAGGCAGAGGTTGCAGTGAGCTGAGATCACACCACTGCACTCCAGCCTGGGTGACAGAGCAAGACACCAGGTCTCAATAAATAAATAAATAAATGTCTTTTTTTTTTTGAGACGGAGTTTTGCTCGTCACCCAGGCTGGAGTGCAGTGGCACAATCTTGGCTCACTCCAACCTCTGCCTCCTCGGTTCAAGTGATTCTCCTGTCTCAGCCTCCCAAAGTAGCTGAGATTGCAGGCGCCCACCACCACACCCAGCTAAGTTTTTATTTTTAGTTGAGACAGGGTTTCACACGTTGGCCAGGCTGGTCTTGAACTCCTGACCTCAGGTGATCCACCTGCCTCAGCCTCCCAAAGTGCTGGGATTACAGGCGTGAGTCACCACGCCCAGCCCTTTTTTTTTTTTTTTTTTGAGACGAAGTCTTGCTATTGTCACCCAGGCTGGAGTGCAATGGTGTGATCTTAGCTCACTGCAACCTCCGCCTCCCAGGTTCAAGGGATTCTCCTGCCCCAGCCTCCCGAGCAGCTGGGATTACAGGCACCCGCCACCACACCCAGTTAATTTTTGTATTTTTAGTAGAAATGGGGTTTCACCATGTTGGCCAGGCTGGTCTGGAACTCCCGACCCCAGGTAATCCGCCCGCCTCGGCCTCCCAAAGTGCTGGGATTACAGGCCTGAGCCACCTCGCCTGGCCAAAAAAAGATCCTTAACCTGAGGCTGGTGCCAGGTGCATTTAATAAGATGTTATTAAAGGAGAAATGGGGTAGGGTGAGGACTGGGGCTGACCAAGAGGAAGAGAGCTTCCATTTTCCTGGACAAAGCCAGGAAGGCTCCTTGGGGGAGGCAGCTTTTGGTCTGATCCCTGGTCTGGTGGGATTTGCCTGGGCAGTGCCAGGGAAGGGAACTGCAGATGGAGGCAGCCAAGGGGAAAGGGCTAGAGGAGGGCTCTGTGGGACTCCAGGGACCCGGAGCTCCCTGACCGGGGAGCGGGGCTTCCTTCCTTCTCTCTGAGCGAGTGTGGACTAAATGCCCTGTGGGCTGATTGCAGGGCCCATCTTCTGGCTGCTGGTCAAGAGCCCCGAGCTGGCCGCCCAGCCCAGCACATACCTGGCCGTGGCGGAGGAACTGGCGGATGTTTCCGGAAAGTACTTCGATGGACTCAAACAGAAGGCCCCGGCCCCCGAGGCTGAGGATGAGGAGGTGGCCCGGAGGCTTTGGGCTGAAAGTGCCCGCCTGGTGGGCTTAGAGGCTCCCTCTGTGAGGGAGCAGCCCCTCCCCAGATAACCTCTGGAGCAGATTTGAAAGCCAGGATGGCGCCTCCAGACCGAGGACAGCTGTCCGCCATGCCCGCAGCTTCCTGGCACTACCTGAGCCGGGAGACCCAGGACTGGCGGCCGCCATGCCCGCAGTAGGTTCTAGGGGGCGGTGCTGGCCGCAGTGGACTGGCCTGCAGGTGAGCACTGCCCTGGGCTCTGGCTGGTTCCGTCTGCTCTGCTGCCAGCAGGGGAGAGGGGCCATCTGATGCTTCCCCTGGGAATCTAAACTGGGAATGGCCGAGGAGGAAGGGGCTCCGTGCACTTGCAGGCCACGTCAGGAGAGCCAGCGGTGCCTGTCGGGGAGGGTTCCAAGGTGCTCCGTGAAGAGCATGGGCAAGTTGTCTGACACTTGGTGGATTCTTGGGTCCCTGTGGGACCTTGTGCATGCATGGTCCTCTCTGAGCCTTGGTTTCTTCAGCAGTGAGATGCTCAGAATAACTGCTGTCTCCCATGATGGTGTGGTACAGCGAGCTGTTGTCTGGCTATGGCATGGCTGTGCCGGGGGTGTTTGCTGAGGGCTTCCTGTGCCAGAGCCCAGCCAGAGAGCAGGTGCAGGTGTCATCCTGAGTTCAGGCTCTGCACGGCATGGAGTGGGAACCCCACCAGCTGCTGCTACAGGACCTGGGATTGCCTGGGACTCCCACCTTCCTATCAATTCTCATGGTAGTCCAAACTGCAGACTCTCAAACTTGCTCATTTAAAAGAAAAAAAAAAGAAGAAAATGTACCCGAGTCGTAGATTTTATTTTTCCTCTGTGCATGGGTGAATGCCCATGAGCTGAACAAAGGCAACTCATGGCTTTATTCCTTTTAGGAAACAAGGCATCAGTTTATCACCAGGGCAACAGGCCATGCAAAAGTTCAGACTTGGCCGGGCGCGGTGGATCACGAGGTCAGGAGATCGAGACCATCCTGGCTAACACAATGAAACCCTGTTTCTACTAAAAAAATACAAAAAATTAGCTGGGCATGGTGGTGGGCGCCTGTAGTCCCAGCTACTCGGGAGGCTGAGGCAGGAGAATGGTGTGAAGCTGGGAGGCGGAGATTGCAGTGAGCCGAGATCATGCCACTGCCCTCCAGCCTGGGTGACAGAGCAAGATTCCGTCTCAAAAAAAAAAAAAAGTTCCGACTTTTTAGAGATGAAAGCCCCTTTCACCTGTTTCACAGGAAATAACCGTTTAAGTCCGGGCATCTTACAAGACTGCTGTGTTAGAAACTGGATAGAGATCAGGGTGAGATGAAGGGGCTCTTAGCTTAGGTGCAGAACCGAAGGAGGCACCGAAAAGCTCAGTAATCGAGATAGAAAACATGTTTTCATATTTGAGATACTGGGGAGGCCAGGGATGCTACTCAATATCCCACAGTACACAGAACAGCCACCTAGTCTCGCTCTGTTGCCCAGGCTGGAGTGCAATGGCATGATCTCAGCTCACTGCAACCTGTGTCTCCCATGTTCAAGCGATTCTCATGCCTCAGCCTCCCGAGTAGCTGGGATTACAGGCGCCCACCACCACACCTGGCTAATTAAAGACGGTATCACCATGTTGGCCAGGCTTATCTTGAACTCCTGACCTCAGGTGATCCACCCGTCTTGGCCTCCCAAAGTGCTGGGATTATAGGTGTGAGCCAGTGCACCCAGCCCTTTTTGCTTTTTTAGAGACGAGGTCTTACTGTGTTGCCAAGGCTGGAGTGCAGTGCCGTCACAGCTCACTACAACCTCGACCTGTGATTCTCCTGCCTCAGCCTCCTGAGTATCTGGGACTACAGGTGCATGCCACCACACTTGGCTAATTATTTGTAGAGGTGGCAACATAACATTTGCTATGTTGCCCAGGCTGGTCTCAAACTCCTGGGCTCAAGTGACCCTTCCGCCATGGCCTCCCAAATTGTTGGGATTACAGGCATGAGCCACCGTACCTGGCCTTAGTTTTCTTTCCGATGCCACACCAAATGGCTAGAGGGTGTGTTTGGGATGACCTGAGTCTGGTAGGCAACTTCCAGTGGACCCCACGGTGCGACCACCTCCCTTTGAGTGTGGGGGAGATGTAGCGACTGGCTTCTAGCAGTAGGATAGGGCAGAAGTGACAGTAGGTTAGTCTTGTGGTTAGGTTACAAAACTGACCTCTGTGATGGTAGCGTCCCTCGTCAGCCCTCTTGTCTTGCCCTCTCGCTGGCTGGTGGTGATGGAGCCGGCTGCCATGGTGAGCGGCCCTGTGGAGAAGCCAGGGAGGAATGGAGACAATCTGGAGAAACAGAATCACACCAACAACCACGTGCGTGAGCTTGCTGTGTGCTCTTGCTTGGGAGCAAGTTACAGGTTCAGCCCAAGAGGAGCGGACCACTCCAGGGTGTAAATACCAGGAGGGGGAATTGGAAGACTACCCTAAGCATGCCGACCGGAGACTGTGTGTGTGTAGTAGGTATTTCTTACTGGGAGATCACGGAAAAGCAAGTTTGAGAAACACTCCCATCAGATGGGTGGGCCGAGGATAACCTCAAAGCCTTTGGTTCTCCGAATAGGTGCGTAGGACTCACCCAGGCACTCTTTCCTTTTTTAAATTGTGGTAAAAACTACATAACAGTGGCCAGGCGTGATGGTGCACGCCTGTAATCCCAGCTATTAGGGAGGCTGAGGCAGAAGAACTGCTTGAACCAAGGGGGCACCGCTCCTGGCTGTAACATGTTTTCAATATCCCCCCTCTTCGGTGGCACAGGGGCTGGCCCCATATACATGTGCGATGGCAACTGACAGGGTCCCTGATAAACCGGAGTGCTCCAGAAACACCCCATTGCGTGGGACGGAGGATGTTAGGTGGCCCTCCTAGCGTTTGAGTTTGATAAATGAGCAAAGGAAGTGGTTTTTACTAGAAAGCCAGCTTTCCTTTTTTTTTTTTTTTTTTTTCCAGCCAGCAAACCCCAAACAGGAACCTATGGTTGGTGATGGATGTGCGTTCAGAAAGCAGGGAGGGAGGGGGAGTCAGAGGTGAGGGGGTCATCAGCCATAGCTGTCCGCTGCATCACCCCCTCGCTATCTCCAGGAAGCGTTCTGGGCTTTTCCTGTTGTGCAGTGTGGAAGTGCTCTATCTTCATTCATATCAAGGAAAGTCAAAGGACAAACTAAAGCCGGCAGCGTCTTTCTGGCTTCCTAGTCAGGCTGTTCGGTAGCGGAGTGTCACCCTGATTTCCAGCCCCGCAGCACACACAGTGAGAGCCTGCCTGGCGTGATTCAGAGGCAACGTATTTCCCAAGGTGGCTGTGAAGGAACCAGGGGGATAAACACAGCCCGTGAACCGCACGCCAGAGGACAGGTCCGGCTGCCTGCCGCGGAGTCGTCACGGCGTGTCGCGTCTGAGCGCTTCTCCAAAGCACCCAAGTGGCACCCGGGGTGACAGTTACATCATCTTGAGTACAGTTCTCTCAAGGAAAAAGCAAGCCCAGCATCTTCTGCCATGGCAACCCTGGCTTGGAGCCTCCATAAGAGAGAAGGCCCTAAGAATAATACCATTTTCTTGCTCTAAGTTGCTCTTACGGGAAAGAAGTGATAATATTCTTCCTAAACGCCATCATTCGTGCATCCTTCCCACCTATATGTGTCACCGGATCATTCTCCGCCTGGGCGGGGCCGTCCTGTGCACTGCAGAATGCTGAGCAGTGTCCTTGGCTTCGACCGACCACATGCCAGGAGCACCCCAATTTCTGCCATCGGGTGATTGACTTCACTGTTGCATTTGATTTTTTATGTATCTTTTAAAAGGACCCAATAGGGCCAGGCACAGTGGCTCACACTTGTAATCCCAGCACTTTGGGAGGCTGAGGTCGGTGGATTGCTTGAGCCCAGGAGGAGTTCAAGACCAGCCTGGGCAACATAGTGAAACCCCAACTCTACAAAAAACAAATGTTTTATTTTTATTTATTTTAGATGGAGTTTCACTCTTGTTGCCCAGGCTGGAGTGCAGTGGCGCAATCTCGGCTCACTGCAACTTCTGCCTCCCGGGTTCAAGCGATTCTCCTGCCTCAGCCTCCTGAGTATCTGGGATTACAGGCATGCGCCACCACACCCAGCTAATTTTGTATTTTTAGTAGAGATGGCGTTTCTCCATGTTGGTCAGGCTGGTCTCAAACTCCCGACCTCAGGTGATCTGCCTGCCTCGGCCTCCCAGAGTGTTGGGATTACAGGCGTGAGCCACCACGCCCAGCCGGGTTTATAGTTTTATAACCCTTATGACAAATCTCATAGTATTCTGCAGGGATAAGCATGAAACCACTCGTTCAATAAGTGCAAACAAAAACGCCAACAATTCTTAAGACATTTCTAATCTTATTTTACCAATAATTTTAAAGCCAGCTTATGTATTAAAGATTTATAACTACTTTTATTAACACGTTTAAAATTCTATGCAGCTTAAAGCATTTATAATGGATAAAACTGCCAATACTGAGTGCCTGACATAATATTTGAAAGGTGGCAGGCATTCAACCATGGTCACTGAATGAGAGATGTAGGGAAGATGATGGCAGGGAGGTTTTTAGATATCAACACCCTGATAGTTCTCATTTTAACCACCTGTAAGTGCACATACAAGTCAACGGCACTGGCCGGGCGCGGTGGCTCATGCCTGTATTCCCAGCACTTTGGGAGGCCAAATCACAAGGTCAGGAGATCGAGACCATCCTGGCTAACACGGTGAAACCCCGTCTCTACTAAAAATACAAAAAATCAACTAGGCATGGTGGCACGCACCTGTAGTCCCAGCTACTCAGGAGGCTGAGGCAGGAGAATCGCTTGAACCTGGGAGGCGGAGGTTGCGGTGAGCCAAGATCGCGCCACTGCACTCCAGCCTCGGCGACAGAGTGAGACTCCGTCTCAAAAAACCAAAAAACAAAAAACAGTCAATGGCATTAAATATAAATACATTTACAGTGTTGTGTAACCATCACCACTATGGATCCCCCAGACTTTGTCATCATCTTCAACCTAAGCGCTCCCTATTAAATAGTAACTCCCCACTTTTCCCAGGCCTTGGCAACCACCATTCTAATCCCTGTCTCTATGAATTTGACTCCTCTCGATACCTCAGATAAGCGGCACAATGCAGTATTTATCTGTCAAGTCCGGAATATTTCCTTTAGCATAATGTCTTCAAGGTCCATCACGTTGTAGCATGTATCTGAATTTATTCTTTTATAATATTTTTTATTTTTTGGAGACAGAATCTCGCTCTGTCACCCAGGCTGGAGTGCAATGGCGCGATCTCGGCTCACCGCAACTTCCGCGTCCCGGGTTCAAGCCATTCTCCTGTCTCAGCCTCCGGAGTAGCTGGGACTACAGGTGCCTGCCGCCATGCCCGGCTATTTTTTTTTTGTATTTTTTGGGGGTTTTACTGTGTTGCCCAGGCTGGTCTTGAACTGCTGAGCTCAGGCAATCTGCCTGCCTCAGCCTCCTAAAGTACTAGGATTACAGGCATGGGCCACCACGCCCGGCCTTATTTTTATTTTTGAGACAGTCTCACTCTGCCGCCCAGGCTGGAGTGCAGTGGTGCGATCTCGGCTTACCGCAATCTCTGCCTCCCAGGTTCAAGCGATTCTCATGCCTCCGTCTCCCAAGTAGCTGGGATTACAGGCACCTGCCACCATGCCCGGCTAATTTAACGCCCAGCTAATTTTTGTATTTTTAGTAGAGATGGGGTTTCACCATGTTAACCAGGCTGGTCTCGGACTCCTGACCTCAGGTGATCCGCCCGCCTCGGCCTCCCAAAGTGCTGGGATTACAGGCGTGAGCCACTGTGCCTGGCTGATTTTTATTCTTTTAGTTAAGGCTGGTTGATATTACCTTGTGTGTATATACCACATGTTGTTTATCCATTGTTGTTGATGGACATGTGGGTGGTTTCACCTTTTGGCTATTGTGAATAAAGCTGCTATGAACACTGTGTACAAATATGTTAGAGACCCTGTTTTCAGTTCTTTTAGGTGTGTACCCCGAAGTGGAATTGCTGGATTTTATGGCAATCCCACGTTTAACTTCTGGAGGAGCTGCTGGAACTGTTTTCCACAGCAGGGGCGCCATGTTACGTCCCTGCCAGCAATGCACGCGCAGTTCAATTTCTCTGCATACTCACCAATATCTGCTGTTTTCCATTAAAAAAAATTATAGCCGGTCGGGTGCAGTGGCTCATGCCTGTAATCCCAGCACTTTGGGAGACCGAGGCAGGTGGATCAACTGAGGTCAGGAGTTCAAGACCAGCCTGGCCAACACAGTGAAACCCCATCTCTACTAAAAATACAAAAATTAGCCTGGTGTGGTACATACCTATAATCCCAGCCACTTGGGAGGCTGAGGCAGGAGAATCGCTTGAACCTGGGAGGTGGAGGTTGTAGTGGGCCGAGATGGCGCCACTGCACTCCAACCTGGGCAAAAAGAACGAGACTTTGTCTCAAAAGAAAAAAAAAAAATACAGCCATTCCAGAAGGTGTGAAGTCATATCTCACTGTGGTTTTGATGCGTATTTTCCTAGTGACATCAGGGAGTTTATGGGAGCACGGGAACACAGACCAGGCCCCAGCAGGCGGACAAACGGTGCAACGCCAGGCTGGCCAGAGGAGATAAGCGCGGCTCCTTGGAGCTTGTGTGCAAGTCACTGTACTGAGGAGCCGGCTACGGCTCGATGAGTCTCAATTAGGAAAGGCCGGGGCTGGTGGAGGAAGGGAGGAGAGCATTCTTCATCCTCATCACATCCTGAGCCTGTGCCCCAGGCTCCCACCACTTCCCTCCCTGGCCACAGAGCTCAGGACAGGGCTGAGGAACCATGTCTCCATCCCCGACCGCCCTCTTCTGTCTTGGTGAGTCCTGAGGGTCAGATCTGGGAAATGCTGAAGGACAGGCATGGACTGCCAGACAAAGGATTTTTAAGAAATTTGCATTGGTGATGAATTTCAGGACAAAAAGGAACCTGTAAGAGCCCCTTCATTTGTTGGGTGGGGAAACGGGGGGCCAGCGAGCTGGCATTTTGCATGAGTTATTCCAGTGTATTCATGGCTGGGTCAGGAAATGAACAGAGTATCCTAGCATTGGTCACAACTTTGTTCTACTACACTGCAGTTGCCCCTTTTTTAAAAAATGTGGGCCAGGCACAGTGGCTCACGCCTGTAATCTCAACCTTGGGAGGCCGAGGTGGGTGGATCACCTGAGGTCAGGAGTTCAAGACCAGCCTGGTCAACATGGTGAAACCCCATCTCTACAAAAATTAGCCGGGCGTGATGGCGGGTGCTTGTAATCCCAGCTACGTGGGAGGCTGAGGTGGGAGAATTGCTTGAAACTGGGAGGCAGAAGTTGCAGTGAGCTGAGGTCAGGCATTGCACTCCAGCCTGGGCAACAGAGAGAGCCTCCATCTCAAAAAAAAAAAAAAAAAAAAAAAAAAAGGCTGAGTGCCATGGCTTACACACTTTGGGAGGCCGAGGCGGGTGGGCCATCTGAGGTCGGGAGTTTGAGACCAGCCTGACCAACATGGAGAAACCCCATCTCTACTAAAAATACAAAATTAGCCGGGTGTGGTGGCACATGCCTGTAATCCCAGCTACTCTGGAGGCTAAGGCAGGAGAATCGCTTGAACCTGGGAGGTGGAGGTTGCGGTGAGCCAAGATCACACCATTGCACTCTGGCCTGGGCAACAAGAGCGAAACTCCGTCTCAAAAAAAAAAAAAAAAAAATTGTGGAATTGATATCTGGACTAGGTATGGATTTAATTTGTCAGTATCCCCTACAGTAGTGGAGTAAATAGTCTCCTGATGGATGGGTGGCAGGTCGAATGCATTTCTGCTGCCTGATCTTCACTTGTGCTGGGCATGTCGAATGCATTATTTCCTGATTTCTTCAGAATTTGACCACTAAAGGGACAGCATCTCCAAAAGGCTAAGCAGGAAGAAGATGGTTGCATTACTGGAGATGAGAGGGTTAACTGTGAATATAAACAACCTCTCATTCATTATCCATCCATGGATGTATTCTTTTTTTCTTTTTGTTTGTTTTTTGAGATGGAGTCTCGCTCAGTCGGTCGCTCAGGCTGGAATGCAATGGCATGATCTCAGCTCACTGCAAACTCTGCCTCCCGGGTCCAAGTGATTCTCCTGCCTCAGCCTCCCGAATAGTTGGGATTACAGGCATCTGCCACCAGGTCTGGCTAATTATTGTATTTTTAGTAGGGGCGGGGTTTCACCATGTTGGCCAGGCTGGTCTCAAGCTCCTTACTTCAGGTTCCACCCGCCTCGGCCTCCCAAAGTGCTGGGATTACAGGCGTGAGCCACCGCACCCAGCCTGTTTTAACTTTTATTTATTTAATTTTATTTGAGATAGGGCCTCACTTCTGTCACCCAGGCAGGAGGGCAGTGGCATGATCATGGCTCACTGCAGCCTCAACCTCCCAGGCTCAACCAGTGCCTCCCCATCAGCCTCCTGAGTATCTGGAACTACAGTTGTACACCATCATGCCTGGCTTGTTTTTGTAATTTTTTTAGTTACGGGGGTCCGCTATGTTGCCCAGGCTGGTCTTGAACTCCTGGGCTCAAGCGATCCACCCACCTCGGCCTCCCAAAGTGTTGGGGTTACAGGTGTGGCCTGTACAGGTTACTGCATCTGGCTTGTTGCTTCAGTAGCTTTTGGGATACAAGTGGTTCTTGGTTACATGGATGAATTATATTCTGGTGAATTCTGAGATTTTAGTGCACCTGTCACCTGACTAGTGTACCTTGTACCTAATGTGTAGTTTTTCATCCCTGCCCCACTTCTGCCCTTCCCTTCTGAGTCTCTGAAGTCCATTACATCACTCTGCATGCCTTTGCATACCCACAGCTTAGCTCTCACTTATAAGTGAGAATATACAGATTTTTGTTTTCCACTCCTGTATTACTTTACTTAGAATAATGCCTTCCAGCTCCATCCAAGTTGCTGCAAAAGACTTTTTTTTTTTTTTTTTAAAGACGGAATCTCGCTCTCTCACCAAGGCTGGAGTGCAGTGGTGTGATCTCGGCTTACTGCAAACTCCACCTCCCGGGTTTAAGTGATTCTCCTGCCTCAGCCTCCCGAGTAGCTGGGACTACAGGCACCCGCCACCATGCCCGGCTAATTTTTGTATTTTTAGTAGAGATGGGGTTTCACCATGTTGGGCAGGATGGTCTTGATCTCTTGACCTCGTGATCCACCCACCTCGGCCTCCCAGAGTGCTGGCATTACAGATGTGAGCCACTGTGCCTGGCCAAAAGACATTATTTCACTCCTTTTAATGGCTGAGTAGTATTCCACGCTCATTTATTTTTATTTATTTTTATTTTTTGACATGGAGTCTCACTCTGTTGCCCAGACTGGAGCGCAGTGGCATGACGTTGGCTCACTGCAACCTCCACCTCCCAGGTTCAAGCGATTCTCCTGCCTCAGCCTCCCAAGTAGCTGGGATTACAGGCTCCTGCCACTACGCCCCGCTAATTTTTGTATTTTTAGTAGAGACAGGGTTTCACCATGTTGGTCAGGCTGCTCTCGAACTCCTGACTTCAGGTGATCCGCCCACCTTGGCCTCCCAAAATGGGATTACAGGTGTGAGCCAGCGCGCCCGGCCGGTGAGAACATTTAAAATCTACTATCGGTGATATGCAAGTGTACAATATGTTGTTATTAACTACAGTCACCATGATGTGCAGTAGATCTCCAAGACATACTCCTCTTGTCCAACTGAAACTGTCCTCCTCTGACCAACATCTCCCCAAACCTTACCCCACCGCCCCGGTAACCACCACTGTGCTCTCTACTCCTGTAAGTTCCCAAGTCCACACTCTTTACCACTAATTGGTGCTGCTAGGGTTTGAATCTACTCCTGCCAGCTGTAGGACTGTGGATAAGATACTGTCTCACTAGCCTGATGTATAAGAGGGGACTGATAATGGTGGGTAACCCGTACGATTATGGCGACTTGGAGTCCATGCACAGAAGGCGCTCAGCACGGCGCCTGGAAGACTCCCAGCCATGGTACAGCGTCGCATGGAAACCTACAAAGAGGCTGAGGTGGGCTGTGATGCGGCAGGAGGAGGGGGACAGAGAAGCGGCCGGAGCTTGCGTTGGGGTGCAGAGGGAGCCTGGGGTGGACAAAGGGTGGTGGCTATGGGGGCGCTGGTGACAAGTTGTCACTCTCTGAGCTCAGAGTCAAGACATGAGCTGGGTTCACCCACTTCTTGCTATGTGAGCTACACAAGGTTGCTTGGCCTCTGCCCAGTTTCCTTATGTTTACAGTGGGAATGACAACTATCCCGCCTTTGTGTGTGTGTGTGTGTGTGTGTGTGTGTAAGAATGAGGGTTACCAGATAAAACACTGGATGCCTGGTTAAATTGGAATTTCAGATAATTAGTACTTTTTTTTTCCTCCTCCTCTTCGTTTTCTGAGACAGGGTCTTGCTCTGTTGTCAGTCTGGAGTGCAATGGGGCAATATCATTTTTTTTTTTCCTCGAGATGGAGTCTTGCTCTGTTGCCCAGGCTGGAGTGTAGTGGCGTGATCTTGGCTCACTGCAACCTCCGCCTCCCGGGTTCAAGTGATTCTCCTGACTCAGCCTCCCCAGTAGCTAGGATTACAGGCACGTGCCACCATGCCCAGCTAATTTCTGGTATTTTTAGTAGAGATGGTGTTTCACCATGTTGACCAGGCTGGTCTTGAACTCCTGACCTTGTGATCCGCCCACCCTGGCCTCCCAAAGTGCTGGGATTATAGGCATGAGCCACCGTGCCCGGCCAGTGGTGCAATCTTACCTCACAGCAGACTTGACCTCCTGGGCTCAAGCAATTCCAGGAGGGGATCGCTTATGTACATGTATTTGTATACATATGTATACACACACACACACACACACACACACATGCATACATATATACATATACATACATATACACGTGTGTATGTACACACGTGTATATGTACATACACATGTATGTATAGATGTAGGTTTACATATATGCACTATATGTGTATATACATATAGTAATCAGATCAGGGTAAGTAGCACACCCATCTTCTCAAACATGCATCCTTTCTGTGTTGGGAACTTTCCCCATCCTCCTTCAGGCTATTTGAAACGATTATTATATATATTATATCCTATCATGTAATCATGGAATACTGATTCAAGCAAATGTTGTAAATACCGGGAAACCCATGGCCAGCACATGCTGAGACGTCCTGACTTACACGCTGAGGCTCCATCCTGCTCCATCCTTGGAGCCCAATGCATCCCATTAGTGTGGGGTTTTATCGCATATATTACATAGACAATAAAATACAATAATATACAATATGCAATAGTATTTACAATACTTGTCTATACAATTGCATACTATTGTAATGTACTTGGATATTATTTAATATTGGGAGACTGAAGGGAGGAAACGAAGGGACAGCAATGTCTCAGGTCCCATTCCTCACATCCACTGAGGAAGTCAATGGGCAATGTCTAACACGAACGAGCCCACCGTGTCTAACACAACACAAACGAGCCCACCGTGTCTAACACAACACGAACGAGCCCACCGTGTCTAACACAACACGAACGAGCCCACCGCGTCTAACACGAACGAGCCCACCGCGTCTAACACGAACGAGCCCACCGTGTCTAACACAACACGAACGAGTCCACCGTGTCTAACACAACACGAACGAGCCCACCGTGTCTAACACAACACGAACGAGTCCACCGTGTCTAACACAACACGAACGAGTCCACCGTGTCTAACACGAACGAGTCCACCGTGTCTAACACGAACGAGTCCACCGTGTCTAACACGAACGAGTCCACCGTGTCTAACACAACACGAAGGAGTCCACCGCGTCTAACACGAACGAACCCACCGCGTCTAACACGAACGAACCCACCGTGTCTAACACGAACGAACCCACCGTGTCTAACACGAACGAGTCCACCGTGTCTAACACAACACGAACGAGTCCACCGTGTCTAACACAACACGAACGAGTCCACCGTGTCTAACACGAACGAGTCCACCGCGTCTAACACGAACGAGTCCACCGTGTCTAACACAACACGAACGAGTCCACCGTGTCTAACACGAACGAGCCCACCGTGTCTAACACGAACGAGCCCACCGTGTCTAACACGAACGAGTCCACCGTGTCTAACACGAACGAGCCCACCGTGTCTAACACGAACAAGTCCACAGAGAGCAGTACGCCACCATGCCTTGCCCTCCTCTCCCACCACCCCCAGCCATGGATCTGCTTTCTTCTCCATCTCCTATAGATTTACCTATTCTGGATATTTCATGTAAATGACCTCATAAACTATGTGGCTTTTTCTGACCGGTTTCTCTCACTTAAATTACATTCCTGTGTGTCTTTTGAAGAAATTATTAGGACAGAGTAAAGCATATGCATGCAAATGTCTTATCACCGCGCCCAGCAGGCAGGAATGTCCATAAAAGCGAGTCCTGGCATCTGGTCCCTTTCTTCTTTCCTCAGGGCTGTGTCTGGGGCGTGTGCCAGCGCAGAGTGGTGAGTCCTTCCCCAGACCCCTTCCCTCCTGCGGGATCCGCCAGCGCGGGAGCAGCGGGGTCCAGGCGGGGTCTGCGGGGAGGCTGACCCAGCCCTGCTCCTCTTCCAGGACCGCTCCCCAAGCCCTCCCTCCAGGCTCTGCCCAGCTCCCTGGTGCCCCTGGAGAAGCCAGTGACCCTCCGGTGCCAGGGACCTCCGGGCGTGGACCTGTACCGCCTGGAGAAGCTGAGTTCCAGCAGGTACCAGGATCAGGCAGTCCTCTTCATCCCGGCCATGAAGAGAAGTCTGGCTGGACGCTACCGCTGCTCCTACCAGAACGGAAGCCTCTGGTCCCTGCCCAGCGACCAGCTGGAGCTCGTTGCCACGGGTAAAGGAAGGGGGATCGGAGCCTGGGACTGCGTGGTCCTCCGTTCAGGACACAAATACGGGGGACATTGAGGGCAGGGATTAGGGTGAGGCAAACGAGGCACTGGCCTAGCGGGTGGTGGTGCCACGACATTTATGGATCAATGTGAATAATATTTTGTTTTTTGGACACAGGGTCTTGCTGCGTCACCCAGGGTGGAGAGCAGTGGCGCGATCTTGGCTCACTGCAGCCTCCACCTCCAGGGCTCAAGCGATTCTCCCGCCTCAGCCCTCCAAGTAGCTAGGATTACAGGTGTGCACCACCACGCCCAGCTCATTTTTTATGTTTTTATAGAGATGGGGTCTCTTGACAGTTTTCACAAAAGGCATTAAAATACAAAAGAGAGAGAGATAGGGTCTCGCTATGTTGCTCAGGCTGGTCTCGAACTCCTGTGGGCTCAAGCTATCCTTCCACCTTGGCTTCCCAAAGTGTTGGGATTTCAGGCGTGAGCCACTGCATCTGGCTGTGAATAACATTTTCATGCAATTTTTAAAAAAATCAAAATAAATTGCAAAAACATCCACAATGAAAAAAACCAGAATTTCAAATAAAGGCAGAATCAGCCAGTGCCTGTGTCAAGTCATACCAGAGTCTGTGCCAAAACGAAAAACAGGCAACCCTTTATCTGTGTTTTAATGCACTTAAAAAAATTAGCGATGGGGTCTTGCTACACTGCCCAGGCCGGAGTGCAGTGGCTGTTCATAGGAGCAGTCATAGCTCACTGCAGCCTGGAGCTCCTTGCCTTGAGCAATCCTCCTGCCTCAGCCTCATGAGTAGCAGGGACTACGGTCACGGGCCACCGTGCTTGGCTCGGGATTCTTTTTAAAACTTTGTTTTGGAGTAATTTTTAGACTGACAGAAAAGTTCCAAAGATAATATTAATGGAAATATTTCACCCAGGATCCCCTCATGTTAACATCTTACATTTGTTACAACCAAAAAATAAACGTAGCACTGGTCCCAGTGGTTTACACCTGTAATCCCAGCACTTTGGGAGGCTGAGGCGGGAGGATTGCTTGAGCTCAGGAGTTCAAGACCAGCCTGGGCAACATAGTGAGACCTCATCTTTAAACAAAATTAAAAATTAGTGGGGCATGGTGGCATACACCTATAGTCCCAGCTACTCAGGAGGCTGAGGCAGGAGGATCGCTTGAGCCAGGGAGGCCGAGGCTGCAGGGAGCTGTGATCACGCCACTGCACTCCAGCCTGGGTGACAGAGTGAGACCCTGTATCAAAAAACAAACAAAAAACTAACCATAGACACAACTATATTATATCAAGTAAACTCCAGGCTATTTGAATTTCACCAGTCTTTCCACTAATATCCTATTTCTGTTCCCAGACCCCGTCCAGGGCCCCACAGTGCATTTAGTATTTATGTCTCCTTAGACTCTTGATTGGTGCAAATATTCTAATTTCTTTTCTTATTTATTTATTTTTTTTAAGAGAAGAGGTTGGGCCGGGCGCGGCGGCTCACGCCTGTAATCCCAGTACTTTGGGAGGCTGAGGTGGGTGGATCACTTAAGGTCAGGAGTTTGAGACCAGCCTGGCCAACATGGTGAAACCCCGTCTCTACTAAAAAAAATAATAATAATTAGCTGGGCGCGGTGGCGCACTCCTGTAATCCCAGCTACTCCGGAGGCTGAGGCAGGAGAATCGCTTAAACCTGGGAGGCGGTGAGCCGAGATTGCACCACTGCAGTCCAGCCTGGGCGACAGAGCAAGACTCCGTCTTGGGAAAAAAAAAAAAAGAGAAGAGGTCTTACTATGTTGCCCAGGCTTTAGTACACTCGCTGTATTCACAGGCATGATCATAGCTCACTTTAGCCTCAAATCCCTGGGCTCAAGTGGTCCTCCCTAGTAGCTGGGACTATAGGTGCACCCAGTTAGTGCACTTTTAAATGGTTATTTTCTAGAAGTAGGTTTTGGAAATAGCACTGATGCGCTTGCATCCACAAAAGCCTAGAATGTAAAATTCTAATAAATCTTTCAGGGGAATAAAGTATTCAAACAGAATAATGTGAGTTTTAACGACCTACTCTTCAAATTTTCAATAATTTTTTCAAATATGTTAATTGTTTGGGAATAATTAAATTTTACATCCCAGGAGAGTGCCTCACTCACGCCACCCTAATTCCTGGCCAGCTGCACTGTGGTCTATTCCGCGTTATAAATCCTGCCTCCCTCCCCTCTTCCCTGCCTCACTCCCCTCCACAGCATCACTGGCCTCCTCTCTGCTACTAGAATGGACCAGCCTGGCTGCCTCATTACTTCTTTCAGGGTCAGACTCAAATACTCTCTTCTCGCTAAGTATATCCCCCACCACCCTAGTCAAAGTGGCCCTCCTCACTATCTGGTATGTGAAGTATACCTTTTTTTATCTTGGTGGTGGTTGTCTATTTTTAATTCCTGGTCGGGCACGGTGGCTCACGCCTGTAATGCCAGCACTTTGGGAGGCCGAGGTGGACGGATCACCTGAGGTCAGGAGTTCGAGATCAGCCTGGCTAACATGGTGAAACCCTGTCTCTACTAAACATACAAAATTAACTGGGCATGGTGGTGCATGCCTGTAGTCCCAGCTACTCGGGAGGCTGAGGCAGGAGAATCGCTTGAACCCAGGAGGTGGAGGTTGCAGTGAGCTGGGATCATGCCACTGCACTCCAGCCTGGGCAACAGAGTGAGATTCTGTTTCCCAAAAAAAAAAAAAAAAAAAAAAAAAAAAAAAATATATATATATATATATATATATATATATATATATATATATATATATATATATATATATGCCATTGCACTCCAGCCTGGGTGACAGAGCGAGACTCCGTCTCAAAACAAAACAAAACAAAACAAAACAAATGAAACAACAAAAAAAGAATACAGACAGACACATAATAGTTGCTTAAGTGAAAATTAAGAGAAAATATTGCTGAGTGAATGTTACAGTTATCAGGCAGCTTATATATTTCCTTCCTTCCTTCCTCCCTCCCTCCCTTCCTTCCTCTTTCTTTCTTTTTCTTCTTGTTGAGTGAATGCCATAATTATTAGGCAGCTTATATTTTTATCTTCCTTACTTCCTTTCTTTTGCTTTCTCTCTCTGTCTTTTTTTGAGACAAGGTCTCACTCTGTCACCCAGGCTAGTGTACAGTGATCATAGCTCACTGCAGCCTCGCCTTCCTGGGCTCAAGCGATCCTCCCACCTTGGCCTCCCAAAGTGCTGGGATGACCGGTGTGAGCCGCCGCACCCAGCCTCAACCTTTGTTTTTCTGACTCCTGTGTGCAGGCATGCATCACCACACCGGTCTATGACAACAACCTCACATCAGAGTAGTGTAGGTTCGTGTTTAGGAGCGGAGACCCTGGAATCAAACTCTGTGAGTGCAGATTTCAACTCTGCCACTTATGATCTTGGACAAGTTTTTTATTTATTTTTAAATTAAAATATGTCCAGCTTTGTTGAGGTATAATTGAAAAACAAAAATGGAATATATCCAAGGTGTACAAGTTGATGTTTTGATATACGAATCCACTGTGAGACAGTTACTACTAGCAAGCTAATTAACATACATCACCTGACACAGTTAACTTTTTTGTGTGTGAGAATACTTATAATCTACCCTCTTAGCAAATTTCAGCTGTACACTGCAGTATTGTTACCTAGAGTTGGACAAATTATTTAATGCCATGTGCCTTAGTTTCATTTATAAAATAGGGACATTAAGAGTGAGGACTCCATAGGTCTCTGAGGATTCACTGAACTGATATACATCATAAGTTTGGAAGGCACCCGGAAGCTAGCACTGTCAGCCACATTTACAACGTAACAATTGTATGTGGCAATACAAGCTTACAGCACAGTATAAGCTTAAGCTATTTACTTACTCCAGCGCTTGCTAGGCAACAGGCACTCTGCAAATTACTGTGTACTGTCTCATTCAGTCATCCCCATTTTAACAGAACAAGGCAGTGAGGCTCAGATACAGAGGGAGATTTGTCTCCAGGGCCACCAGGCCCCTGAAGGCAGAACTAGGATTTGCACCCAAGCACTAGGACGTGAGCACAGCCTCCTTCCTCAACCACTGGGTGACTCGACCTCTCTGTGAGCTTGGGTGGGGGAGTGCGCTCTCTGGGAGGGATACAGCCAAAAAGCTCCCCAGCTCTTAGGCAGGTGTGGGGACCTCCCCAGTCTCAGCTGAGATGCTGGCTCCTGCCTTCAACATCAGACTTTCTTTTTCTCCCAGGAGTTTTTGCCAAACCCTCGCTCTCAGCCCAGCCCGGCCCGGCGGTGTCGTCAGGAGGGGACGTAACCCTACAGTGTCAGACTCGGTATGGCTTTGACCAATTTGCTCTGTACAAGGAAGGGGACCCTGCGCCCTACAAGAATCCCGAGAGATGGTACAGGGCTAGTTTTCCCATCATCACGGTGACCGCCGCCCACAGCGGAACCTACCGATGCTACAGCTTCTCCAGCAGGGACCCATACCTGTGGTCAGCCCCCAGCGACCCCCTGGAGCTTGTGGTCACAGGTAGGGGTAGTGCAGACCAAACCTTTCTTCCTCAGCCTTTATAGGTCCTGATGGCCATTCCAAGGGAGGGGCCATAAGTGGGAAGGAAGTGGGAGGGCAGGAAGCCCTGGGCTGCAGGGGCGGGGCCGTAGGTGGGAAGGAAGTGGGAGGGCAGGAAGCCCTGGGCTGCAGGGGCGGGGCCGTAGGTGGGAAGGAAGTGGGAGGGCAGGAAGCCCTGGGCTGTAGGGGCGCGGCCATAGGTGGGAAAGAAGTGGGAGGGCAGGAAGCCCTGGGCTGCAGGGGCGGCGCCAGAGGTGGGAAGGAAGTGGGAGGGCAGGAAGCCCTGGGCTGCAGGGGCGGGGCCGTAGGTGGGAAGGAAGTGGGAGGGCAGGAAGCCCTGGGCTGCAGGGGCGGGGCCGTAGGTGGGAAGGAAGTGGGAGGGCAGGAAGCCCTGGGCTGCAGGGGCGGGGCCGTAGGTGGGAAGGAAGTGGGAGGGCAGGAAGCCCTGGGCTGCAGGGGCGGGGCCGTAGGTGGGAAGGAAGTGGGAGGGCAGGAAGCCCTGGGCTGCAGGGGCGGGGCCGTAGGTGGGAAGGAAGTGGGAGGGCAGGAAGCCCTGGGCTGCAGGGGCGGGGCCAGAGGTGGGAAGGAAGTGGGAGGGCAGGAAGCCCTGGGCTACAGGCAGCTGGGAGAATGGAGGTTTCTTTTTTTTTTTTTTGACGAAGTCTCACTCTGTCACCCAGGCTGGAGTGCAGTGGCGCGATCTCAGCTCACTGCAACCTCCGCCTTCCGGGTTCAAGCGATTCTGCTGCCTCAGCCTCTCGAGTAGCTGGAATTACAGGTGCCTGCCACCATGCCCGGCCAATTTTTGTATTTTTAGTAGAGACGGGGTTTCACTATGTTGGTCAGGCTGGTCTTGAACTGACCTCATGATCTGCCCGCCTCGGCCTCCCAAAGTGCTGGGATTACAGGCGTGAGCCACCGCGTCGGACTTGACTACCATTCTTAAAGGGGGTTTCTTTCAAAAAAGAGCAGCATACCTCATAATGTGGTTATATACATGCAATGGAATATTATGCAGCCTTAAAAAAGAAGGAAATTCTGACACATACTACAACATGGATATACCTTGAGGACATTATGCTAAGTCAGTCACAAAAGGACAACTACTGTATGATTCTAGTCAAAGGAGGTATCTAATGTCAACACTGTAGAAACACAAAGTACAATGGTGGTTGTTAAGGGCCAGAAAGAGGAGAGAGAAGGAATTAGTGTTTAATGGGCACAGAATTTCAGTTTTGCAAGAAAAATAAGTTCTAGAGGTCAACATATTGTACCACAATGTGAACATACCCAACGCCACTGATCAGTACATTTAACAATGTCATATTAAATCAAACAAAATACATCATTTAGTTTTTGGTAGAAAAATCTGTTTTGCCCCCAGGGTCACAGTGAGGGGTAGGACACAGGAATCCAGAAGAAATAGAACTGAGGTTGAAAAAGGTGGACGGGAGCTGCATGCATTTCCTTGTTAATAGCCCAGAATGTGCCAGGTGTGCTTTACAAATGCTGCTGCTTTTTTTTTTTTTTTTTTTTTTGGGGGGAGTCTCACTTTGTCACCCAGGCTGGAGTGCAGTGGAGTGATCTCAGTTCACTGCAACCTCCACCTCCTGGGTTTAAGCGATTCTCCTGCCTCAGCCTCCTGAGTAGATGGGATTACAGGCACCTGCCATCATGCCCAGCTAATTTTTGTATTTTTCGTAGAGACAGGGTTTCACCATGTTGGCCAGGCTGGTCTTGAACTCTTGACCTCAGGTGATCTGCCTGCCTCGGCCTCTCAAAGTGCTGGGATTACAGGTGTGAGCCACCACGCCTGGCTAAGCCTTTTTTTTTCAGATGGAGTCTTACTGCGTCACCCAGGCTGGAGTGCAGTGGTGCGATCTCAGATCACTGCAACCTCTGCCTCCTAGGTTCAAGTGATTCTCCTGCCTCAGCCTCCCGAGCAGCTGGGATTACAGGTGCACACCACCACGCCTGGCTAATTTTTGTATTTTTAGTGGAGACGGGGTTTCACCATACTGGCCAGGCTGGGCTTGAACTCCTGACCTCAAGTGATCTGCCCTCCTCAGCCTCCCAAAGTGCTGGGATTACAGGCATGAGGCACTGCACCCAGCTCAAATGCTTATTAACATCCACAACAGTCCAGTGATGTAAGCTACTTTAGGCTCATTTTTCCGGTGAGGAAACTCAGTCACGGAGATGTTTCGTTATTTGTTCAGGACCCACAGCGACAGAGCACAGATTTATCTCATTTTCTGATTTCCCAGGAACCTCTGTGACCCCCAGCCGGTTACCAACAGAACCACCTTCCCCGGTAGCAGGTAGGTTCTGCAGGGTCCATTCTGGTGCACAGCGTATGAGGTACACGGACCCCTTCTCTCTCTCCTCTCTGCCTAGACTTCTCGATTTAATTCAGTTGGTTCTTTCACAGATTTGCTTTGTTTTAAAAATCCTTTATTTCTGCCTGTAAACAGGGTGGGTGTCCTAAGTAGTTAGATGTTAAGATGCTGCCCCCAATCCTACTCTAGGTGGATGGTTTATCACATATAACATGCAGAAGAATAATCGGAGTGGCTTGCTATACTGTGGAGTCCAGCTGGTTGAATATGGGTGACAAAAACAAACAAACTAACCAACCAACCAACCAACCAACCAACCAACAAACCTGTAGAGTCCGGGACTCTGTTTCTGAGTCACTGAATGCATTGATCAGCGGTTCTCAAACTTCCATGAGCATAAGAATCACCTGGAGGCTTAAAGAATAGATTTCTGAGCCCCCAGGGCTTCTGCTTCAGTAGGTCTGGGGTGAATCCAGTCATTTTCATTCCTAGTAAGTTCCCAGGTGATGCTGATGCTATGGCTCCAGAATGCTGCTTTGAGAACCACTGCGGTAAGTTTTGTGTGAGGCGTGTTATCCCCTCCACTTTCACAAACATCTCAGCTGAATACGGTGTACCAGACTACGGCCTGCACTTTAAGAATATCATACGCTAGGCTGGAGGCTGGGCGTGTCTAACATTCCCTGTGTCTCAGAGTGAAGCACCAAGGCAGGAGAAACATGCTGGAAAGAGCCGAGGTTGATAAGGATGAGATTTGCGGGGTTGAGGGCAGAGTGAGGGCTATTATGCCTAGTGGGCAGGGACATGGAAGATGGTCACATACTGTGTGCGTGCATATGTGTGTGTGCGTGCATGTGCGTGTGTGCGTGCATATGTGTGTGTGCGTGCATATGTGTGTGCATGCGTGCATATGTGTGTGTGTGCATGCGTGCATATGTGTGCGTGTGCTTCTGACTGAATTTTTGAACTTTCTCTTTTGAAATGGTTCTAGAGTCACAGGAAGTCTACAATGATAGAACAGAAGAATCCCATGTGCTCTTTTTCCAGTTTCCTCTAATGGTTACATCTTACGTAATTAGAGTACAACATAAAAACCAGGAATTTGACATTGGCATAAAGTAGGTGTCTAGTTCTATGCCAATTTGTCACAGTTGTAGATTCGCGTCACCATCACCGCAGTCACTGTACAGAACTCTTCCGTCTCACAAGGGCCTCCCTTGGGCTACCCTTTTATATTCACACCTACACCCTTCTCCTTCCCTTGCCATCCCTAACTCCTGGTATCCATTAATTTGTTCTCCATCTCTATAATCTTCCATTTCTAGAATCTGATGTAAATGGGATCATCCAGTATGCAACCGTTTGAGATATCCTTTTGTCACTCAGTGCAATGCCCCTGAGGCCCATCCAAGCTGCTGTATGTATCAATGATGTGTTCCTTTTGATTGCTGAGCAATATTTCATGCTATATTAGGCCGATTTTGTGCTGCTATAAATATCTGAGACTGGATCATTGATAAGAAAAGAGGTTTAATTGGTTCATGGTTCTGAAGGCCGTATAGGAAGCAGAAGGCTGGCTTCTGCTTTTGGGGAGGCCTCAGGAAGCTTACAGTCATGGCAGAAGGCAAAGAGGGGGTAGCTGTCTCATGTGGTGGGAGCAGGAGCAAGAGAGAGAGAGAGTTGGGACTGGGGGACATGCCACACTTTGCAATAGCCAGATCTTGTGAGAATTCACTTACTATTGCAAGGAAAGCACCAAGCAATGAGGGATCCACCCCTATGATCCAAACACCTCCCACCAGGCCCCCACCTCCAACATTGGGGATCATAATCCAGTATGAGATTTGGTGGGAACACATATTCAAACTGTATCACATGGCATGCAAATACCACACGCTGTGTTGAAATCAAAATCAAAACAAGGTGTATTAAATAGGGAATCCTTTCCCCATTGCTTGTTTTTGTCAGGTTTGTTGAAGATCAGATGGTTGTAGATGTGTGGTCTTATTTCTGAGATCTCTATTCTGTTCCATTGGTCTATGTGTCTGTTTTTGTACCAGTACCATGCTGTTTTGGTTACTATCACCTTGTAATATAGTCTGAAGTCTGAGCCTGAGGCCTCCAGCTTTGTTCTTTTTGCTTAGTATTGTCTTGGCTATATGGGCCCTTTTTTGGTTCCATATGAATTTTATAGTTTTTTCTAATTGTGTGAGGAATGTCAATGATAGTTCAATGGGAATAGCAATGAATCTATAAATTACTTTGGGCAGTATGGCCATTTTCACGATATTGATTCATCCTATCCATGAGCATGGAATGTTTTTCCATTTGTTTGTGTCCGCTCTGATTTTCTTGAGCAGTGAATTGTAGTTCTCCTTGAAGATGTCCTTCACTTTCCTTGTTAGCTGTATTCCTAGGTATTTTATTCTCTTTGTAGCAATTGTGAATGGGAGTTCCTTCATGATTTGGCTCTCTGCCTGTCTATTGTTGGTGTATAGGAATGCTTGTGATTTTTGCACATTGATTTTGTATCCTGAGACTTTGCTGAAGTTGCTTATCAGCTTAAGAAACTTTTGGGCTGAGATGATGGGGTTTTCTAGATATAGGATCATGTCATCTGCAAACAGAGATAGTTTGATTTCCTCTCTTCCTATTTGAGTATCCTTTATTTCTTTCTCTTGCCTGATTATCCTGGCCAGAACTTCCAATACTATGTTGAATAGGAGTGGTGAAAGAGGGCATCCTTGTCTTGTGCTGGTTTTCAAGGGAAATGCCCATTTAGTATGAAATTGGCTGTGGGTTAATAAATGGTGCTGGGAGAATTGGCTAGCCATATGCAGAAAATAGAAACTGGACCCGTTCCTTACACCTTGTACAAAAATTAACTCAAGATGGATGAAAGACTTGGATGCAAAACCCGAAAACTATAAAAACCCTAGAAGAAAATCTAGGTAATACCATTCAGGACACAGGCATGGGCAAAGATTTCATGACAAAAACGTCAAAAGCAATTGTAACAAAAGCAAAAACTGACAAATGGGATCTAACTAAACTAAAGAGCTTCTGCTCAGCAAAAGAAAGTATCATCAGAGTGAACAGACAACCTACAGAATGGGAGAAAATGTTTGCAATCTATCAATTCACAAAAGTCTAATATCCAGAATCTACAAGGAAGTTAAACAAATTTACAAGAAAAAAAAAACCATTAAAAAGTGGGTAAAGGACATGAACAGTCACTTCTCAAAAGAAGACGTTTATGCAGCCAGTAAACATACAAAAAAAAGCTCAACATCACCAATCATTAGAGAAATGCAAATCAAAACCACATTTAGACACCATCTCACACCAGTCAAAATGGCGATTATTAAAAAGTCAAGAAACGCCGGGCACGGTGGCTCACGCCGGTAATCCCAGCACTTTGGGAGGCCGAGGCAGGCAGATCACAAGGTCAGGAGATCGAGACCATCCTGGCTAACACGGTGAAACCCCGTCTCTATTAAAAATACAAAAAATTAGCCGGGCGTGGTGGCGGGCGCCTGTAGTCCCAGCTATTCGGGAGGCTGAGGCAGGAGAATGGCGTGAACCCGGGAGGCGGAGGTTGCAGTGAGCCAAGATTGTGCCACTGCACTCCAGCCTGGGCGACAGAGCAAGACTCCATCTCAAAAAAAAAAAAAAAAAACCAACAAAAGTCAAGAAACAACAGGTGCTGGCGAGGCTGTGGAGAAATAGGAATGCTTTTACACTGTTGGGAATGTAAATTAGTTCATTGTGGAAGACAGTGTGGTGATTCCTCAAAGACCCAGAACCAGAAATCCTTTTTCCTTTTTTTTTTTTTTGAGATGTAGTATTGCTCAATAGCCCATGCTGGAGTGCAGTGGTGCGATCTCGGCTCACTGCAACCTCCACCTCCCAGGTTCAAGCAATTATCCTGTCTCAGCCTCCTAAGTAACTGGGACTACAGGCGCCTGCCACCATGCCTGGCTTTTTTTTTTTTTTTTCTTTTAGTAGAGATGGGGTTTTACCTTGTTGGTCATGCTGGTCTCAAACTTCTGACCTCAGGTGATCCACCTGCCTCGGCCTCCCAAAGTGCTGGGATTACAGGCGTGAGCCACCGCACCAGGGCCACCTTTTTTTTTTTTTTTTTTTTTTAAACAGAGTCTCACTCTGTCACCCAGGCTGGATTGCAGGGGCATGATCTCGGCTCACTGCAGCCTCTGCCTCCAGGGTTCAAGTGATTCTCCTGCCTCAGCCTCCCGAGTAGCTGGGACTGCAGGTGCATGCCACAACGCCTGGCTAATTTTTGGATTTTTGCTAGAGACGGGAGTTTCACCATGTTGGCCAGGGTGGTCTTGAGCTCCTGACCTCAGGTGATCTGCCCACCTCGGCCTCCCAAAGTGCTGGGATTACATGTGTGAGCCACTGCGCCTGGCCAGAAATACCATTTGACCCAGCAATCCCATTACTGGTTATATACCCAAAGGAATATAAATCATTGTATTATAAAGATACATGCACACATATGTTCATTGCAGCACTATTCACAATAGCAAAGACAAGGAATCAACCCAAATGCCCATCAATGATAGAAAGGATAAAGCAAATACAGTACATATACACCATGGAATACTATGCAGCCATAAAAAGGAATGAGATCATGTCCTTTGCAGGGACATGGATGGAGCTGGAAAACATTATCCTCAGCAAACTAACACAGGAACTGAAAACCAAACACTGCATGTTCTCACTTGTAAGTGGCAGCTGAACAATGAGATCACATGGACACAGGGAGGGGAACACCACACACTGGGGCCTGTAGGGGGAATTGGGGGAGGGAGAGGATCAGGATAAATAGCTGATGCGTGTGGGGCTTAATACCTAGGTGATGGGTTGATGGGTGCAGCAAACCACCATGGCACACGTTTACCTATGTAACAAACCTGCACGTCCTGCACATGGATTCTGGAACTGAAATTTTAATTGAAAAAAAAAAAAAAGGTTTATTAATGCATCTCACACGAAGAGAAATAACAAAGACCAAATAATACCCACACTCTCATTATGCCACCGAGAGCTGAGCATAAACTAGTTTTTTCCAAGCTGGTTCCACCATAAAAAGACTCCCAGGATAGTACCCACTGCAACAAGAGCTTCGTATTTATCAGCTGAGGCAGTTCAGGAATATTTTGGTGGCCTCAGGAGGCCCCTGGTTAAGAAAATGGCCTGGCCGGGCGCGGTGGCTCACGCCTGTATTCCCAGCACTTTGGGAGGCTGAGGCGGGTGGATCACAAGGTCAGGAGATCGAGACCATCCTGGCTAACACGGTGAAACCCCATCTCTACTGAAAATACAAAAAAATTAGCCAGGCGTGGTGGCGGGTGCCTGTAGTCCCAGCTACTCGGGAGGCTGAGGCAGGATAATGGTGTGAACCCGGGAGGCAGAGCTTGCAGTGAGCCGAGATTGCACCACTGCACTCCAGCCTGGACGACAGAGTAAGACTCTGTCTCAAAAAAAAAAAAAAAAAGAAAAAAAGAAAATGGCCTAAGTTGGAAGGTGGAGATCCCGTGTTCTGAGGCTAACACGAGCTCATTCTTCCTCTAGGCTCACGAAGACATGGATCCACATCTTATTATTCAAACTGAGATATAATTCACATACCATAAAATTCACCATGCCAACTAGGATGACTATGATTTTTAAAACAAAACAAACGGACAAGAAGTATTGGTGAGGATTTGGAAGAACCTTCTTATATTGCTGGTGGGAATATAAAATGGTGCAGCTGCTTTGAAAAACAGTCTGTGGCCAGGCGCAGCCTGTAATCCCAGCACTTTGAGAGGCCAAGGAGGGTGGATCACGAGGTCAGGAGATCGAGACCATCCTGGCCAACATGGTGAAACCCCGCCTCTACTAAAGTACAAAAAAAAAAGTTGGCCAGGCGTGATGGCAGGTGCCTGTAATCCCAGCTACTCGGGAGGCTGAGGGAGGAGAATCGCTTGAACCCAGGAGGTGGAGGTTGCAGTGAGCTGAGATCGCGCCACTGCACTCCAGCCTGGGCAACAGAATGAGACTCTGTCTCAAAAAAAAAAAAAAAAGAAAAAAAAGAAAGAAGTCTGGTAGTTCTTCAAAAAGTAAAACACAGAGTTACTGTATGACCCAGTGATTCCACCACCCCTGGGTGTGTACCCAAGAGAACAGAAAACTTATGTTCACACAAAAACCTGTACGTCAATGTTCACAGCAGCAATATTCATAACAGCAAAACGTGGAAAAAAAACCAAGTGTCTATCAATTGCTGAACGGATCTGCTTCTTACTAAGCCGGTCATGGAAGATAAGTCTTACACCTTTCGAATTTGTCTGTCTTCAGTGTCTGTGCAGTGTGTCAGAGAAAGGGGTTTCAGGGAGCCTAGATATCTCAAAAGGGGAATGGAGATATCTAGAGGATATAGGGAACCACGGGGAAGACCTAACATTGTTTTGCTTTCTTAGAATTCTCAGAAGCCACCGCTGAACTGACCGTCTCATTCACAAACGAAGTCTTCACAACTGGTGAGTAACCAGGCATTTCATGCTCAGCAGAAAGGAGTGTGAGGACGGAGCTCTCTCTTCCATTATCTAAGCCTGTAGGCTTTTAATCACTTCACCGAACTGTCCGTCTCTTACCAAGAAAGTCCTTGGTGTGAGGCTAGAGCATGGGTGCAGAGTGGAGCTCTGGGGTTCAGAAGGAGGAGCGTTTTGGGTGATGGGGCCATTTCAAAGATGGCGGAGCCAAGGCTGTGGCGGGACGACCGCCATCCCTACGCACTGCTCCCAGGATGAAGTCCTAGGCTTTGGACTCGGCTGTGATCCAGGTATTTAATCTCGCTCCTCACTGTGTCCAGGTAGAGCCCATGCTCGGACGCACACAGACTGTAGGCACCTGGACACAGCACATCTTCTAACCGCTCCAGGCCTCTGCAGATACGCTTTCCTCAGTCTCTTTCCCCTTGCCTGTCCTGGAAAATCTCCATTTCCTTCCAGACTAAACACCTTCACAGATTCCCTGATAATAGGTTAGATACTTCCACTGGGCCCACATGACTCTGGCTTTCATGAGGCACCTGATCCCACGTAGTTCTATTTTTTATTTTTTTGAGGTGGAGTCTTGCTCTGTCGCCCAGGCTGGAGTGCAGTGGTGCGATCTCGGCTCACTGTAACCTCTGCTGCCCGGGTTCAAGCGATTCTCCTGCCTCAGCCTCCCGAGTAGCTGGGATTATAGGTGCATGCCACCACACCTGGCTAATTTTTGTATTTTAGTAGAGACGGGGTTTCAGCATCTTGGGAAGGCTGGTCTTGAACTCCTGACCTCATGATCCACCTGTCTCGGCCTCCCAAAGTGCTGGGATTGGAGGCATGAGCCACCGCGCCCGGCATATCCCAGGGAGTTCTGTGATGGAAGCCTTCCCTATCTTCAGTTCGGAACCTCCCAATCACCCTCAGGATGCAGTTCCAATTCCTCAGCTTGCTATTCTGTGAGCTTAGATATCCAGCCCCTGTTGATCCCTCCAATTTTGTCTGCATACCTTCCACGCATTCCCATGCTGTTCTCAGCCACACACAGTCACTTGAAGCTCTCCTGGAGGCTTCCTAACCTCTCCTGACTCTGCACCCAACCCACTCACTCTGCCTTTTCTTCCATTTCCCCATGGCATCAATTCCTCAAGAAAGCCTTGACCGTCCAGGCTGGATCGATGGTTTCCTCTGCTCTCGCTCAGTGTCTTGTGGGCTGCCTATTACAGCAATTTTTACAGTATATTAAAATTATCGCTTTGTCTGTAATCCCAGCACTTTGGGAGGCCAAGGTGAGTGGATCACCTGAGGTCAGGAGACCAGCCTGGCCAACATGCTGAAACCCCGTCTCTACTGAAAATACAAAAATTAGCCGGGCGTGGTGGTGGGCACCTGTAATTCCAGCTACTTGGGAGGCTGAGGCAGGAGAATCGCTTGAACTCACGAGTTGGAGGTTGCAGTGACCTGAGATCACACCACAGCACTCCAGCCTGGGCAACAGAGTGAGACTCCGTATTAAAAAAAAAAAAAAATCGCTTTACTTTTTGGTCTCCTGCAATAGTCTGGGAACCGCAGATGGACAATGTCTTATGGTTTTTTTGTTTTTTGTTGTTGTTTTTGAGACGGAGTCTCACTCTGCTCACTCTGTGATCTGTGATTTCGGCTCACTCTGCGATCTCAGCTCACTGCAATCTCCGGCTCCTGAGTAGCTGGGACTACAGGTGTGTGCCACCATGCCCAGCTATTTTTTGTATTTTTAGTAAAGACGGGGTTTCACCATGTTGGCCAGGATGGTCTCGATCTCTTGACCTCAGGTGATCCGCCCACCTTGGCCTCCCAAAGTGCTGGGATTACAGGCATTCAGCCAGTGTCATGCCTGGCCTGACAATGTCTTATTAATATTTGGGTTCCCATGGCCCAGCACATGGCTGAGTACCTGGCGAGTCTCAGGAGATACTTGAGGAATAAGAGAGCTGGAGGCCGGGTGCAGTGGCTCACGCCTGTAATCCCAGCACTTTGGGAGGCCTAGGCGGGCGGATCACAAGGTCAGGAGTTCAAAACCAACCTGGCCAATATGGTGAAATCCCATCTCTACTAAAAATACAAAACTTAGCTGGGCGTGGTGGCGGACGCCTGTAGTCCCAGCTACTCGGGAGGCTGAGGCAGGAGAATCGCTTGAGCCCAGGAGGCGGAGGTTGAAGTGAGCCGACATCGGGCCACTGCACTCCAGCCTGGGAGACAGAGCCAGACTCTGTCTCAAAAAAAAAAAAAAAAAAGCTGGCACGTATGAGGTGCTCATATGTCAAGCACGGTGCTTTATATTTCTACCATTATTATTATCTTGACTTTCACATCAACCTATAAGGGATCTTGTTAATTTTATTGGACACATGGGGAACTGGCTCACAGATGCTGAGTCACTTGCCAGATAACTGACATCTAATAGGTGATAGAGTTGGGGTTCAAATCTGGAGGACAGCCTGACTCTACAGTTCTTGCTTTTTTTTTTTTGGACAGGGTCTCGCTCTGTTTCCCAGGCTAGAGTGCAGTGGTACAATCCTGGCTCACTGCAGCCTCAACCTCCCAGGGCTCAGGTGATCTTCCTGCCTCAGCCTCCACTGAGTAGCTGGGATTACTGGCACGTGCCACCACGCCTGGCTAATTTTTGTATTTTTTTGTAGAGATAGGGTTTTTCTATGTTGCTCAGGTTGGTCTTGAACTCCTGGACTCAAGCCAGCCTCCTACCTCAGCCTCCCAAAGTGCTGGGATTATAGGCATGAGGCACCGTGCCCGGCCCATGCTTTTCTTAAATGCTGTGGAATTGTGCCTCCCCATGTGTGTGTGTGTTCGGAGTAGGCACAGTGACAGGGGGCGGGAATATGGTTTCATTTCACACTTAGCCTTTGTTTGGTTCCCAGAGACTTCTAGGAGTATCACCGCCAGTCCAAAGGAGTCAGACTCTCCAGCTGGTGAGTAAGTCATCCTCTCCAGACCCCCTTCCTTCTCACCCGTCTCTTCACCAAAGCCAACTCCTTTGTCTACGCAGGGGCTGCAGCTCTCAGATCTTGGGTTCCAGTGTGTAGAGTAAAGGCAGAATATCAGCGTATGGGGTTCAGAATTGGGCATTAAGATCAGGTGGGAAGGTTGAGATTTTAAAAAGGGTCAGAGAAAGAGAGATTCCATCTCTTCCCCACCCCTTATAACTGTCCTCTCTTTTGCAATGCATCAGATAACGAGGCAGCATCTGTGTCTGGGGAGGAGTTGTCTCAGAGCCCTGTGAGAGCACAGGAGGGAGAGGTGCTACTTAGAGAATTGGGGTCATCTGGCCCTGACCCCTACTCGGGAAGGGAGGGACCCTCCAGGAAAGTGAGCGGCATCCCCTAGCTAGTAGAGAATAATAGGATCTCTGAGAAGCCCAGATGTGGCTTGGAGGGGGTCCTGGAGGTGGGCTCTTTCACCTGCTCCTGCCTCTCCTCATTCCTCCAGGTCCTGCCCGCCAGTACTACACCAAGGGCAACCTGGTCCGGATATGCCTCGGGGCTGTGATCCTAATAATCCTGGCGGGGTTTCTGGCAGAGGACTGGCACAGCCGGAGGAAGCGCCTGCGGCACAGGGGCAGGGCTGTGCAGAGGCCGCTTCCGCCCCTCCCGCCCCTCCCGCTGACCCGGAAATCAAACGGGGGTCAGGATGGAGGCCGACAGGATGTTCACAGCCGCGGGTTATGTTCATGACCGCTGAACCCCAGGCACGGTCGTATCCAAGGGAGGGATCATGGCATGGGAGGCGACTCAAAGACTGGCGTGTGTGGAGCGTGGAAGCAGGAGGGCAGAGGCTACAGCTGTGGAAACGAGGCCATGCTGCCTCCTCCTGGTGTTCCATCAGGGAGCCGTTCGGCCAGTGTCTGTCTGTCTGTCTGCCTCTCTGTCTGAGGGCACCCTCCATTTGGGATGGAAGGAATCTGTGGAGACCCCATCCTCCTCCCTGCACACTGTGGATGACATGGTACCCTGGCTGGACCACATACTGGCCTCTTTCTTCAACCTCTCTAATATGGGCTCCAGACGGATCTCTAAGGTTCCCAGCTCTCAGGGTTGACTCTGTTCCATCCTCTGTGCAAAATCCTCCCGTGCTTCCCTTTGGCCCTCTGTGCTCTTGTCTGGTTTTCCCCAGAAACTCTCACCCTCACTCCATCTCCCACTGCGGTCTAACAAATCTCCTTTCGTCTCTCAGAACGGGTCTTGCAGGCAGTTTGGGTATGTCATTCATTTTCCTTAGTGTAAAACTAGCACGTTGCCCGCTTCCCTTCACATTAGAAAACAAGATCAGCCTGTGCAACATGGTGAAACCTCATCTCTACCAACAAAACAAAAAAACACAAAAATTAGCCAGGTGTGGTGGTGCATCCCTATACTCCCAGCAACTCAGGGGGCTGAGGTGGGAGAATGGCTTGAGCCTGGGAGGCAGAGGTTGCAGTGAGCTGAGATCACACCACTGCACTCTAGCTCGGGTGACGAAGCCTGACTTTGTCTCAAAAAATACAGGGATGAATATGTCAATTACCCTGATTTGATCATAGCACGTTGTATACATGTACTGCAATATTGCTGTCCACCCCATAAATATGTACAATTCTGTATACATTTTTAAAATCATAAAAATAAGATAATGCACCGTCTCCACCCCTCTCATATTTACTTTCTGAAGGAAATGTTAGGTCTTCTCAAGGTAAAGTTCTATATTTATTATAGCGTTTAGGCATTTCTTGACCATCTAATGAGTGTAAAACTGTACCACTGGGCCAAGTGCAGTGGATCATGTCTGTAATCCTAGCACTGTGGGAGGCCAAGGCAGGAGGATCGCTTGAGCCCAGGAGTTCAAGACCAGCCTGGGCAACATAGTGAGACCCCATCTCTACTTAAAATAAAGAAGATAAAAATTGTTTTAAAAAAGGAAAAGAATGGCTGGCCACAGTGGCTCACGCCTGTAATCCCGGCACTTTGGGAGGTTGAGGTAGGTGAGTCACTTGGGAAAAGACAGAAGGATGGCACCAAGAAGTTCCAGGACGACGGCTGTGAATCAGGGCTAGTGAGCACACAGCTTGGGTGAAGGGGGAATGGGAAAGTTGCTTAGAGAAGCCTCCAAATGTAAGAATGGGTCAATTCCTCGTCTTAACATAGTGGAAAATCATACTGAGATGCTATCAGAAGACAGAGGAAAAATAATTTTAGAGGTCAAGTAAACTAAGTAGATTTTAAAAAGACCAGTATAGCCTAGGCACAGTGGCTCACACCTGTAATCCCAGCACTTTGGGAGGCTGAGGCGGGATCGCTTGAGCCTAAGAGTTCGAGACCAGCCTGGGCAACATGGTGAAACCTTGTCTCATATACAAAAAATATAAAAAATTAGCTGGGTGTGGTACCACATGCCTACTCTCAGGTACTCAGGAGGCTGAGGTTGGGGATCACCTGAGCCCGGGGAGGTTGAGGCTGCAGTGAGCCATGATTGCACCACTGCTGTCAAACCTGGGTGACAGAGTGAGACCCTGCCTCAAAAGAAAATAAAAATAAAAAACAAATATAAACTTTAGGGGAACAATAACAACAACAAAAATAAAAGAAGCAAGTTATATTACCCGAAAATTCTCGGCTGCGAATATCTGTGGGTATAAACATGTGATACTGGCCGGGCGTGGTGGCTCATGCCTGTAATCCCAGCACTTCGGGAGGCTGAGGTGGGCAGATCACGAGGTCAGGAGATCGAGACCAGCTCAGCCAACATGGTGAAACCCTGTCTCTACTAAAAATACAAAAATTAGCCAGTCGTGGTGGCACACGCCTGTAGTCCCAGCTACTCAGGAGACTGAGGCTGCAGTGAGCTGAGATTGCGCCACTGCACTCCAGCCTGGGTGACAGAGTGAGACTCTGTCTCAAAAAAAAAAAATGTGATACTGAATGTTGATATGCAGACATAGAGATAAACATTGGAAGAGAAAAAACAGTAAGAACAACGCTGTAGAATAACTAAGGCCCCGCCTATTATGATAGGAATCCAGTAAGTCTAAGCTCATTCACATGGTTACATGTTTTTAGAAACCTAATATTAACAAGTTCCTAAAGAAAACAGCTAAAAGTGGGTGTCTCTTAGGCGGAGCAATGGAGGAGATGGTTAGTCAGCCACTGCATTTTGTACACACCCTTTTAGTGCTATTGGAATTTTTTAGGTAGGTGCTGTCAGGCCTCTGAGCCCAAGCTAAGCCATCATATCCCCTGTGACCTGCACGTACACATCCATATGGCTGGTTCCTGCCTTAACTGATGACATTCCACCACAAAAGAAGTGAAAATGGCCTGTTACTGCCTTAACTGATGACATTGTCTTGTGAAATTCCTTCTCCTGGCTCATCCTGGCTCAAAAGCTCCCCTACAGAGCACCTTGTGACCCCCACTCTGCCCGCCAGAGAACAACCCCGCTTTGACTGTAATTTTCCTTTACCTACCCAAATCCTATAAAACGGCCCCACCCCATCCCCCTTCGCTGACTCTCTTGTCGGACTCAGCCCACCTGCACCCAGGTGATTAAAAGCTTTATTGCTCACACAAAGCCTGTTTGGTGGTCTCTTCACATGGACGCACATGAAATTTGGTGCCGTGACTTGGATCGGGGGACCTCCCTTGGGAGATCAATCCCCTGTCTTGCTCTTTGCTCTGTGAAAAAGATCCACCTACGACCTCAGGTCCTCAGACCCACCAGCCCAAGGAACATCTCACCAAGTTTAAATTGGGTAAGCGACCTCTTCTTACTCTCTTCTCCAACCTCTCTCACTGTCCCTCAACCACTTTCTCCTTTCCACTCTTCAATCTCTCCCTTCTCTTAATTTCAATTCCTTTCATTTTCTGGTAGAGACAAAGGAGACACGTTTTATCTGTGGACCCAAAACTCCGGCGCCGGTCACGGACTAGGGAAGGCAGCCTTCCCTTGGCGTTTAATCATTGCAGGGACGCCTCTCTGATTATATACCCACGCTTCAGAGGTGTCAGATCACGCAGGGATGCCTGCCTTGGTCCTTCACCCTTAGTGGCAAGTCCCACTTTTCTGGGGAAGGGGCAAGTTCCCCAACCCCTCCTCTCCATGTCTCTACCCCTTCTCCACCTTTCTGGGGGGCAAGAAACCCCCAACCCCTTCTCCTTCACTCTTAGCGGCAAGTCCCGCTTTTCTAGAGGGGCAAGTACCCCAACCTCGTATCTCTGCACCCTGATCCCTTATTTCCATGCCCCAACCTCTTATCTCTGTGCCCCAACCCCTTATATCCATGCCCCAACCCCTTTCCCGCTTTTCTGGAAGGTAAGAACTCCCGAACCCCTTCCCTCCGTGTCTCTACTCTCTCTTTTCTCTAGGCTTGCCTCCTTCACTATGGGCAACCTTCCACCCTCCATTCCTCCTCCTTCTCTCCCTTGGCCTGTGTTCTCAAAAACTTAAAACCTCTTCAACTCACACCTGACCTAAAACCTAAATGCCTTATTTTCTTCTGCAATGCCGCTTGACCCCAATACAAACTGGACAGCAGTTCCAAATAGCCAGAAAACAGCACTTTCAATTTTTCCATCCTGCAAGATCTAAATAATTCTTGTCGTAAAATGGGCAAACGGTCTGAGGTGCCTGACGTCCAGGCATTCTTTTACACATCAGTCCCTTCCTAGTCTCTGTGCCCAGTGCAACTCGTCCCAAATCTTCCTTCTTTCCCTCCTGCCTGTCCCCTCAGTCTCAACCCCAAGCGTCGCTGAGTCTTTCTAATCTTCCTTTTCTACAGACCCGTCTGACCTCTCCCTCCTCCCCAGGCTGAGCTAGGTCCCAATTCTTCCTCAGCCTCCGCTCCTCCACCGTATTATCTTTTTATCACCTCCCCTCCCCACACCTGGTCCAGCTTACAGTTTCGTTCAGTGACTAGCCCTCTTCCACCTGCCCAGCAATTTACTCTTAGAAAGGTGGCTGGAGCTAAAGGCATAGTCAAGGTTAATGCTCCTTTTTCTTTATCCCAAATCAGATAGTGTTTAGGCTCTTTTTCATCAAATATAAAAATCCAGCCCAATTCATGGCTCGTTCGCCAGCAACCCTGAGAAGCTTTACAGCCCTAGACCCTTAAAAGTCAAAAGGCCGTCTTATTCTTAATACACATTTTATTACCCAATCTGCTCCCGACATTAAATAAAACTCCAAAAATTAAATTCCGGCCCTCAAACCCCACAACAGGATTTAATTAACCTCGCCTTCAAGGTGTACAATAATAGAAAAAAGTTGCAATTCCTTGCCTCCACTGTGAGACAAACCCCAGCCACATCTCCAGCACACAAGAAGGGAACTGAACCGCAGCGGCCAGGCGTTCCTCCAGAACCTCCTCCCCCAGGAGCTTGCTACAAGTGCCAGAAATCTGACCACCAGGCCAAGGAATGCCTGCAGCCCAGGATTCCTCCTAAGCCGTGTCCCATCTGTGCGGGACCCCACTGGAAATCGGACTGTTCAACTCACCTGGCAGCCACTCCCAGAGCCCCTGGAACTCTGGCCCAAGGCTCTCTGACTCCTTCTCGGCTTAGCGGCTGAAGACTGATGCTGCCCAATCGCCTCGGAAGCTCTGTAGACCATCACGGATGCCGAGCTTCGGGTAACACTCACGGTGGAAGGTAAGTCCGTCGCCTTAGTCAATACGGAGGCTACCCACTCCACATTACCTTCTTTTCAAGGGCCTGTTTCTCTTGCCTCCATAACTGTTGTGGGTATTGACGGCCAGGCTTCTAAACCCCTGAAAACTCCCCCACTCTGGTGCCAACTTGGACAACACTCTTTTATGCACTCTTTTTTAGTTATCCCCACCTGCCCAGTTCCCTTATTAGGCCGAGATATTTTAACCAAATTATCTGCTTCCCTGACTATTCCTGGACTACAGCCGCATCTCATTGCCACCCTTCTCCTCAACCCAAAGCCTCCTTCGCGTCTTCCTCTCCTATTCCCCCACCTTAACCCACAAGTATGGGACATCTCTACTCCTTCCCTGGCAACTGATCACATACCCGTTACCATCCCATTAAAACCTAATCACCCTTACCCTGCTCAATGCCAATATCCCATCCCACAGCACACTTTAAAAGGATTAAAGCCTGTTATCACTCGCCTGCTATAGCATGGGCTTCTAAAACCTATAAACTCTCCTTACAATTCCCCCATTTTACCTGTCCAAAAACCGGAAAAGTCTTACAGATTAGTTCAGGATCTGCGCCTTATCAAATTGTTTTGCCTATGCACCCTGTGGTGCCCAACCCCTACACTCTTTTGTCCTCAATACCTTCCTCCACAACTCACTATTCCATGCTTGATCTTAAAGATGCTTTTTTCACTATTCCCCTGCACCCCTCGTCCCAGCCTCTCTTCGCTTTCACTTGGACTGACCCTGACACCCATTAGGCTCAGCAAATTACCTGGGCTGTACTGCTGCAAGGTTTCACAGACAGCCCCCATTACTTCAGTCAAGCCCAAAGTTCATCCTCATCTGTTACCTATCTCGGCATAATTCTCATAAAAACACACGTGCTCTCCCTGCTGATCGTGTCTGACTGATCTCTCAAGCCCCAGCACCTTCTACAAAACAACAACTCCTTTCCTTCCTAGGCATGGTTAGCGCGGTCAGAACTCTTACACAAGAGCCAGGACCACACCCTGTAGCCTTTCTGTCCAAACAACTTGACCTTACTGTTTTAGCCTAGCCCTCATATCTGCGTGCTGTGGCTGCCGCTGCTTTAATACTTTTAGAGGCCCTCAAAATCACAAACTATGCTCAACTCACTCTCTACAGCTCTCATAATTTCCAAAATCTATTTTCTTACTCACACCTGATGCATATACTTTCTGCTCCCTGGCTCCTTCAGCTGTACTCACTCTTTGTTAAGTCCCACAATTACCATTGTTCCTGGCCCGGACTTCAATCTGGCCTCCCACATTATTCCAGATACCACACCTGACCCCCATGACTGCATCTCTCTGATCCACCTGACGTTCACCCCATTTCCCCACATTTCCTTCTTCCCTGTTTCTCACCCTGATCACACTTAGTTTATTGATGGCGGTTCCACCAGGCCTAATCGCCACACACCAGCAAAGGCAGGCTATGCTATGGTACAAGCCACTAGCCAGCCTCTTAGAACCTCTCATTTCCTTTCCATTGTGGAAATCTATCCTCAAAGAAATCACTTCTCAGTGTTGCATCAGCTATTCTACTACTCCTCATGGATTATTCAGGCCCCCTCCCTTCCCTACACATCAAGCTCAAGGATTTGCCCCCGCCCAGGACTGGCAAATTAGCTTTACTCAACATGCCCCGAGTAAGATAACTAAAATACCTCTTAGTCTAGGTAGACACTTTCACTGGGTAAGTACAGTCCTTTCCTACAGGGTCTGAGAAGGCCACCGCAGTCATTTCTTCCCTTCTGTCAGACATAATTCTTCAGTTTAGCCTTGTCATTCCCTTCTGTCAGACAAAATTCCTCAGTTCAGCCTTCCCACCTCTATACAGTCTGCTAACAGACCAGCCTTTATTAGTCAAATCAGCCAAGCATTTTTTCAGGCTCTTAGTATTCAGTGACAGACTAATGGTCTATTAAAAACACACCTCACCAAGCTCAGCCACCAACTTAAAAAGGACTGGACAATACTTTTACCATTTTCGCTTCCAGAATTCAGGCCTGTCCTTGGAATGCTACAAGATACAGCCCATTTAAGCTCCTGTGTAGACACTCCTTTTTATTAGGCCCCAGTCTCATTCCAGACACCAGACCAACTTAGATTGTGCCCCAAAAAACTTGTCATCCCTACTATCTTCTGTCTAGTCATACTCCTATTCACCGTTCTCAACTACTCACACATGCCCTGCTCTTGTTTACACTGCCAGTTTACACTGTTTCTCCAAGCCAGCACAGCTGGTATCTCCTGGTACTATCCCCATACCGCCACTGTTAACTCTTAAAATAAATAAATAATCTTTGCTGGCAAGGCTATGCTGAACCTCCTTAGGCACTTTCTAATTAGATGTCCTGAGTCGTCCCAATTCTTAGACCTTTAATACCTGTTTTTCTCCTTTCCTTATTCCCTTTAGTTTTTCAATTCATACAAAACTGTATCCAGGCCATCACCAATAATTCTAAATGACAAATGTTTCTTTTAACAATCCCACAATGTCACCCCTTACCACAAAATCTTCCTTCAGCTTAATCGCTCCCACTTTAGGTTCCCACGCCGCCCCTAATCCTGCTCAAAGCAGCCTTGAGAAACATCACCCATTATCTCTCCATACCACCCCCAAAAATTTTTGCTGTCCCAACACTTTACCCCTATTTCATTTTATTTTTCTTATTAATATAAGAAGACAGGAATGTCAGGCCTCTGAGCCCAAGCTAAGCCATCATATCCCCTGTGACCTGCACGTACACATCCAGATGGCCGGTTCGTGCCTTAACTGATGACATTCCACCACAAAAGAAGCGAAAATGGCCTGTTCCTGCCTTAACTGATGACATTGTCTTGTGAAATTCCTTCTCCTGGCTCATCCTGGCTCAAAAGCTCCCCTACTGAGCACCTTATGACCCCGACTCTGCCCGCCAGAGAACAACCCCCCTTTGACTGTAATTTTCCTTTACCTACCCACATCCTATAAAACGGCCCCACCCCTATCCCCCTTCGCTGACTCTCTTGTCAGACTCAGCCCACCTGCACCCAGGTGATTAAAAGCTTTATTGCTCACACAAAGCCTGTTTGGTGGTCTCTTCACACGGACGTGCATGAAAGGTGCGTGTATATTTTTGTAACACAATAAATAATAACAGTATACACTTTTTCTTTTAGAAGTATGCTGTTAAACAGAATTAAGAACAGGAAGTCTCAAAATTGTTTCTTTCAGGAGAGAAGACTTATTAATGGGGGAGAGTTCTGAACCACTTGCTTTGCATACTGCCACTTAGTTAAAAAATCGCATTTTAACTTAAAAATATCCAAAAATAACACAGTTTTATAATAAATTATTACGAATATCACAAAATAATAAAAATACAAGTAATGCAGAGTGGAAATGCAAAGCTATGAGTGCTAGACGGCTAACAAGTCATAACAAACAACACCAAAATTAAAGAACAAGATAGTTGTGACTTACCTTGGTCAATCACTTTCCATAGTAGTCATTCAATCCAGGATCTCATCTCTGAAAATGAAGGAAAAAAGCAACAGAAAATAGTGTAGAGGTCTCTGGTGTTCCAAGAATAGGCGCTGCAGAGAGATGTGGGTGCCTGGGCTGTGCCCAGTCACTGAAATGGCACACCTGATGCTACCTGTTCACTTCGGGCTGAGCAGGAGAGAGAAAAGACGTTCCCCTCAGCCACTTCCCGTCTTCTGATTTCACTTCTTGCCTGCCTCCGACTGCAAATCCTGGTTTGACGTCACTTCCTGTCTTCTGATTTTACTTCCTGTATGACCTCACTTCCTGTCTTCTACAACCACTTCCTGTCTTCTTACTTCACTTCCTGTCTTCTGACTTTACTTCCTGTATGACTTCACTTCTTGTCTTCTACCACCACTTCCTGTCTTCCGAATTTACCTCCTATCTTGACTTCACTTCTTGTTTTTTTTTTTTTTTTTTGACAGGGTCTCGCTCTGTCTCCTAGGGTGGAGTGCAGTTGTGCCAGCTTGAAACCACCTTTCCAAAATTATGACTGAGACAGTGAAAGAGATTTAACTGACTCCATTTTGCTTCTAACCTCCAAGCTGTCCTTTTTCATTCCTGGGCATAGGCTGAACTTTGGGAGAAACTTATAGTTTAAACAAAGATGATAGCCCTTTTCCAAAGCACACCTCTTTGTTGCCTGGGGACTAGATTGGCCCTGTAGGACGAACATTAGCCACGAGATTAGAAATTATGACTTAGGAGTCATGCAGCTGGAGGCTACAAGATTGTGACCCTCCCTAAACTGCTTCTAAGATCAGCGTTTAACTTGCAGACCCTGTACTTGATGGATCAGCTGGCACCACCCATATCAATAAACTGGCCCATCTTATCTTTTGGCCTCCACTCAGGAACTGAGTGCAAGAAGATAGCTTTGGCTCCCACGATTTCATCCCTGACCAAACAGCACTCCTGGCTCACTGGCTTCCCACCCACCCACCAAGTTATCCTTAAAAACGCTTCCTGAATGCTGGGAGACACTGATTTGAATAATAATAAAACTCTGGTCTCTCGTAGAGCCAGCTCTGCATGAATTATTCTCTATTGCGATTCCCTGTCTTGACGAATCAGCTCTGTCTAGGCAGTGGGCAAGGTGAACACATTGGACTATTACAATCTTGGCTCACTGCAACCTCCACCGCCTGGGTTCAAGTGATTCTCCTGCCTCAGACTCCCAAGTAGCTGAGATCACAGACGTGCACTACCATGCTCAGCTACATTTTTTTTTCTGTCCCCCGGGCTGGAGTGCAATGGTGCGATCTCGGCTCATTGCAACCTCCGCCTTCCGGGTTTAAGCGATTCTCCTGCCTCAGCCTCCAGAGTAGCTGGGATTACAGGCATGCACCACCAAGCCTGGCTACTTTTGGTATTTTTAGTAGAGACAGGGTTTCACCATGTTGGCCAGGCTGGTCTCAAACTCCTGACCTCATGTGATCCACCTGCCTCTGCCTCCCAAAGTGCTGGGATTACAGGTGCGATCCACCATGCCCAGCCCATTCCGTCTTCTGACTTGACTTCCTGCCTGACTTCACTTCCTGAAGGATGTGGTTACCATGGAAGTTGTTTTGGGGCACAGGATGTGGTCTGGGATTGGGGATTGTGAAAAGCAAGACCCTCACCGGGGTCTTTCTTCCAGAGCTGCAGCTGAGCCACAGGATCTTGAACAGGAGAGAGTTCTTCCTATTCTTGTGGAAGAGCTGAGGATTGAGAAAAGCGCGGCTTAGCTCATGGGAGTGACCTTAGCTTTGAGAAGCCTGAAAATGAGGCTTGGAGGTAGAGAGTGGTGTGTGTGTGTGCGCGTTGGGGGAGGGGGTCAGGCTCTCATGACTTCTGGCTCTTTTTTTTGCTCCAGGAACATTTCCCAAGCCCACCATCTGGGCTAACCCAGCCCTCGTGGTTCCTGGGTGCAAACATGGCCGTGGAATTGTGGAATGGTTTTTTTTGTATCCTTAGCAGAGAACCCAGTGAATACTTTGTTCTTGATCATCAATGTGATGAGATCCAGAGCAAGCAAGTGCTAATGCTGCTGTGAGCCTGAGGCCACATTTTCAGAATTCAGTGATGGGCGGAGGCGAGTGGTCACAGGTATAGGGAGAGCAGTACTTGTTCATCTCTGAACGTATAGATTCAGACACACATGAACCCATGTGCCACAGGTTTCCCTGTTTAGGACTTGTAGGTCATGGGGGTGGGCATCTGAGAGTGTGGCTACATGAAATACACACGTTGGAGAAAGATGGTTAATTGTGAGTGCGAGTTTACATTTCATGGGCCCCTGGGGTGTCGATAGTTCCTCAATGGATGTAGATCCGTTACTCAATTTCTTCTCTAAAGATGGGGCTAGATTACAATGGTTCTCAACCTAAGAAAACTTTGCATTTCAGGAAATATTTTCTACTGCCCAGAGACATTTTTGATCACTGTTAACTGTGAGGATGTGAGCTGGTATCTAGGGGGTAGAGGCTAGGGATGGTGCCGAACACCCTGGAAATGTACAGGACGTTTCCCAACGAGTAGTGATCCGATCCCAAATGTCAATAGTGTGGAGAAGGAGAAACCTTTAGTTTCTTCACGCAATGTCCTTTTTAAACTTTGTGCCTCTCTTTTTACCAACCTTCCCCCTTCTTCCCGCTGAAACTGAGAATAAAGATGCTCTGGAGGCCGGGCACGGTAGCTTATGTCTGTAATCCCAGCACTTTGGGAGACCGAGGCAGGCAGATCGCTTGAGGTTAGGGGTTCGAGACCAGCCTGGCCAGCGCGGTGAAACCCTGTCTCTACTAAAAATGCAAAAATTATCCGGGAGCCTGAGGCAGAATTGCTTGAACTTGGGAGGCAGAGGCTGCAGTAAGCCGAGGTCACACCACTGCACTCCAAACCGGGCAATGGAGCGAGACTGTCAAAAAAAAAAAAAAATGCTCAGGGAATGACCCATGCCGCATTGAACAAGGACACCTTGAACCAGGAAACCTCAGAAGCCCACACTGTATGCAGTGGAACTGGAAAGTGATGGAGTGGTTTAAAGGTAGTATCAGAGAACTTGGATCTAGTCGGTGGGAATAAACCAATAGCCCCTGATGAAGAAATGAAAGTAGGAAGAGAGATTAACTTTTTTAGTTTTAAATTTAAATATTAAAACTACTTTTGACCAGGTGTGGTGGCTCATGCCTATAATCCCAGCATTTGGGGAGGCCAAGGTGGGCAGATCACCTGAGCTCAGGAGTTCAAGACCAGTCTGGACAACGTGGCAAAACCCTATCTCTACCAAAAATGCAAAAATTACCTGGGTGCAGTGGTGCACACCTGTGGTCCCAGCTACATGGGAGGCTGAGATGGGAGAACTGCTTAAACTGGGGAGGTGGAGGCTGCAGTGACCCGAGATCGTGCCATTGCATTCCAGCCTGGGTGAAAGAGCAAGATTCTGCCACCAAAAAAAAAAAAAAAAAAAAAAAAAAAAAAGAAAAAAATGTTGCCAGGTGCGGTGACTTATACCTGTAATCCCAGCACTTTGGGAGACCAAGGCTGGTGGATCACCTGAGGTCGGGAGTTCGAGACCAGCCTGACCAACATGGAAAAACCCCGTCTCTGCTAAAAATTCAAAATTAGCCAGGCTTGGTGGCACATGCCTATAATCCCAGCTACTCAGTAGGTCGAGGCAAGAGAATCGCTTGAACCCGGGGAGGCGGAGGTTGCAGTGAGCCAAAATCGTGCCATTGCACTCCAGCCTGGGCAACAAGAAGAAACTGTCTCAAAACAAACAAAAAAAAACATGATTAGTGTTTAATAAAAATTTGTACTGTTCTTTTTCCCCCTTACCGTCCATTTGTTTGCTCATCCAGTAAACACAGACAGCAACAAAGTCTCCCCATGAGAAGCAACTTTGCCAACTAGTGTTGTCTTTATAGTACAGTTCGTTTTGTTTGTGGTTTTACAGCGTAGAGCTTGCACTGCTGCTTTGTTGAATTTGGAATTCTGTATCACAAGGAAATAATGGAGACTCTATAGTGAAAAACTATGCATACCATGAGATTTTGTTTTTTTTTGGAGAAGGAGTCACTCTGTTGCCCAAGCTGGAATGCAGTAGTGCAGTCTTCAGCACAGTGCAACATCCACCTCCTGGGTTTAAGCAATTCTCCTGCCTCAGCCTCCCAAGTAGCTGGGATTACAGGCATGTGCCACCATGCCTGGCTAATTTTTTATATTTTTAGTAGAGACGGGGTTTCACCACGTTGGCCAGGTTGGTCTCCAACTCCTGACTTCGTGATCCACCCACCTCAGCCTCCCGAAGTGCTGGGATTACAGGTGTGAGCCACCGTGCCTGGCCGAGATTCTATTTTAAGTTAGAATTTTTAAAAAGCAAAATCAGAGCAATGACATGGTCATATATGAGCTACACCGAAGCACCTAAAATATTGTAGATTGGTAGGAGAAATCCTCTGGCAAGTAATACTCAGCAGGCAGTGATCCACGCAGGTCAACAAGTAACAAGACAGGCTAGGCACAGTGGTTCACACCTGTAATCCTAGCACTTTGGGAGGCTGAGGCAGGAATATTACTTGCGCCTGGGAGTTTGAGATCAGCCTGGGCAACATAGTGAGACCCTGTCTTCAAAAAAAATCCCACAAAAATTGGCCTGGTTTGGTGGTGTGCACCTGTAGTCCCAGCTACTGAGGAGGCTGAGGCTGGAGGATCGCTTGAACCTGGGAGCTTGAGGCTGCAGTGAGCTATCATCATGCTGCTGTATTCCAGCCTGGGCAACAGAGCAACACTCATGCTTGAGGAAAAAGAAAAAGAAAAAAAAAAAAGCCGGGTACAGTGGCTCATGCCTGTAATCCCAGCACTCTGGGAGGCTGAGGTGGGTGGATCACTTGAGGTCAGGAGTTTGAGACCAGACTGGCCAACATGGTGAAACCTCATCTCTATTAAAAATACAAAAAAATTTAGCCGGGTGTGGTGGGGGATGCTTGTAATCCCAGCTACTCAGGAGGCTGAGACAGGAGAATCGCTTGAACCTGCCAGGTTGTAGTAAGCTGAGATCGTGCCAGTGTACTCCAGCGTGGGCAACAGAGTGAAACTCAGTCTAAAAAAAAAAAAAAAAAAAAAGAAAAGAAAAAAGAAAGGAAATACCAAGGCAAGGCAAAGATTGACAAGGCAATAGAAATCAATGCAATTAAACACTGTCACTTCCCCCACCCCCCAGGTTCTACCCAGTAAGATATCTTTTCTCTAACTTGTCAAAGCCCATTATTAAGTAACAGCTTCATTTGTGAATGCTCTCACCTTTATTTCTCTCAATATACCCGTGATACAGATATTTCATATGTAACAAAGATAAGGATGTGTGCAGGTATAAAACAGAGGCAGAATCATGGCTAAAACATCTAGCCCAGCAATGAACTCATTATCCCTGAGGGGTAGGGGCCGGGGAGGAGAGGAGTCACAGGCAGTTCACCAACACCTGGAAAATCGATGACTTCATGGAGAATGAATGACTCGGGGGGATTCAGATCATGAAGTCATGAGAAGAAGGCCTTTCTGCCCAGGGATGATGTTTCTCAGTATCAATAATCAGTTGTGGGTTTTTTTCTTCTATTTCTTCCAGCAGCTTATTGAGTTCATCATTAAAGTCATCGATTTTCAACCTGGGGTACAATGGGGGAAGAAAAGGTTACTTTGTGCATCAAGGAGATTTGTTTCAAATTCCCAAGTACCTGAAAGTCTGTTAAGGAGGCACAGGGCATGGGTCACCTTTCCTGATTATTCTAGGTGGCAAAGGAGTGTTCCACATTGATTTTTTTTTTTTTTTTTTAAAAGACAGTCTCAGGTGGGGCGTGATGGCTCACGCCTGTAATTCCCAGCACTTTAGGAGGCTGAGGCGGGTGGATCACGAGGTCAGCAGATCAAGACCATCCTGGCTAACACGGTGAAACCCTGTCTCTACTAAAAAAATACAAAAAATTAGCCGGGCGTGGTGGCGGACGCCTGTAGTCCCAGCTACTCAGGAGGCTGAGGCAGGAGAATGGTGTGAACCCGGGAGGCGGAGCTTGCAGTGAGCCGAGATCGTGCCACTGTACTCCAGCCTGGGCGATCTCAAAAAAAAAAAAAAAAAAAAAAAAAAAAAAAAAAAAAAAGACAGTCTCTCTGTTGCCCAAGCTGGAGTGCAGTGGTACCATCTCAGCTCACTGCAACCTGTGCCTCTTGGGTTCAAGCCATCCTATCCTCTGCCTCCCGAGTAGCTGGGACTACAGGCACCTGCCACCATGCTCAGCTAATTTTTGTATTTTTAGTAGAGTTGGGGTTTTACCATGTTGCCTAAACTGTACCTGGCTTGATTTGCTTATTTTTTATTTTTAAATATAAAATGAGGCCAGATGTGGTGGGTCATGCCTGTAATGCCAGCACTTTGGGAGAGTGAGGTGGGCAGATCACTTGAGGTCAGGAGTTTGAGACCAGCCTAGGCAAGATGGTGAAAGTCCATCTCTACTAAAAATATAAAAGTTAGTTGGGTGTGATGGTGCATCCCTATAATCCCAGCTACTCAGGAAGCTGACACAGGAGAATCACTTGAACCTGGGAGGCGGAGGTTACAGTGAGCTGAGATCGGGCCCCTGCACTCCAGCCTGAGCAATAGAGTGAGATTTTTGTCTAAAAAATAAATGAAGTAAATAATAAAATGTAATATTAAAGACTTTCATTTCTCTTTTTAATCCTTTTTTTCATTCCTCTTATTCTCAACCATGTTGATCTGATAGAGAAAAACATAACATCAGGTTAACCTTGTAATGGTATATAGCCATTGTGCAGTTTGAGATGCTTGTTGATTATCATACACAGAAAATGGAATTGCTGAGTACAGCTGGGCTATAGCTCTAATACCTGCTTACCCGCTCTATCACCCACTTTGGCAACTTCTACTCAGTGGACCCCGGAGTACCAGTTAAACAGAGGAGATGCAGGCCAGGCATGGTGGCTCACGCCTGTAATCTTAGCACTTTGGGAGGCTGAGGCAGGCGGGTCACCTGAAGTCAGGAGTTCGAGACCAGCCTGACCAATATGGAGAAACCCTGTCTCTATTAAAAATACAAGATTAGCCAGGTGTGGTGGCACATGCCTGTAGTCCCAGCTACTTGGGAGGCTGAGGGAGGAGAACCTCTTGAACCCGGGAGGCGGAGGTTGCAGTAAGCCGAGATAGCGCCATTGCGCTCCAGGCTGGACAACAAGAGTAAAACTCTGGCCGGGCGGGGAGGTGGGGGGGTCAGCCCCCCGCCCAGCCAGCCGCCCTGTCCGGGAGGTGAGGGGCGCCTCTGCCCGGCCGCCCCTAATGGGAAGTGAGGAGCCCCTCTAACCGGCCAGCCGCCCTGTCCGGGAGGGAGGTGGGGGGGTCAGCCCCCCATTTTGTTCTGTACTAAGAAAAATTCTTCTGCCTTGGGATCCTGTTGATCTGTGACCTTACCCCCAACCCCGTGCTCTCTGAAACATGTGCTGTGTCCACTCAGAGTTAAACGGATTAAGGGCGGTGCAAGATATGCTTTGTTAAACAGATCCTGAAGGCAGCACGCTCGTTAAGAGTCATCACCACTCCCTAATCTCAAGTACCCAGGGACACAAACGCTGCGGAAGGCCGCAGGGTCCTCTGCCTAGGAAAACCAGAGACCTTTGTTCACTTGTTTATCTGCTGACCTTCCCTCCACTATTGTCCTATGACCCTGCCAAATCCCCCTCTGTGAGAAACACCCAAGAATGATCAATAAAAAAAAAAAAAAAAAAAAAGGAAAAAAAAAAAAAAAAAAGAAAAAAGATGCACCCCAAAAAAAAGAGTAAAACTGTCTCCAAAATAAATAATAAATAAACAAACAAACAAACTTAAAGCTTAAAAAAACCCTTAGTGTCCATATGTCTTTTGACTTACAAAGTATCTTAGGCTGAGTTTCATGTTAAATAAACAAGTAATCTATGTTTCTTCTACATAAAGATTATTTTAAGCCAGCAGTAGAGTATATTGCTTGTGAGAATTTCTGAAGTTCCCACATTCCTAGGAAGGGGCTTCTTGGTTCTTTGATGCCATGGTATCAAAATACAACTCAGGCCGGGTGCGGTGGCTCATGCCTGTAATCCCAGCACTTTGGGATGCTGAGGTGGGCAAATCACGGAGGTCAGGAGTTTGAGACCACCCTGGCCAACATGGCAAAACCCTGTCTCTACTAAAAATACAAAAATTACCTAGGTGTGGTGGTGCATGCCTGTAATCCCAGCTACTTGGGAGGCTGAAGCATGAGAATAGCTGGAACCTGGGAGGTGGAGGTTGCAGTTAGCAACCACTGCACCCCAGCCTGGGCAACAGAGTGAGACTCCATCTCAGAAAAAAAAAAAAAAAAAGAAAGAAAAAACAAAACAAAACCCCAAAACCCTGACAAAATGCAACAAACAAAACACAGCCCAGTGACAAATGGCTATCATGAGCAGGTAGACGGCAGCCGTGGCTGGGTGCAATGGTTCATGCTTATAAACCTACCTACTCAGGAACTGAGGCAGGATTGCTTGAGCCCAGGAGCTGGAGCGAGCCTGCAGCGAGCCATCATTGTGCTGCTGGACTCCAGCCTGGGGAACATAGTGAGTTCTTGCCTCAAAGGAAAAAAAAAAAAAAGGTGGCCGGGTGCGGTTGCTCACGCCTGTAATCCCAGCACTTTGGGAGGCCGAGGCGGGCGGATCACCTGAGGTCAGGAGTTTGAGACCAGCCTGACCAACATGGTGAAACCCCGTTTCTCCAAGTGAAATACAGAAATTGGCTGGGTGTGATGGCGGGAACCTGTAATCCAGCTACCAGATCAGTCTCCTACAGCAGGTCCATGTCATTATGCTTCCCCTAAACCTACCACTCTGGAGAAAGCCTGATGGGGAAGTAAATGGATCATACCTGAGTGTCCGGAGGGTGCCACTGGAACATGTCAAGGTTTCAAACAGCATCTTCACTCCACTAGACCCCAAGGGATTCTGACCCAGGTCCAGAGTGACGAGGCTCTGGTTGCAGCTGAGGGCAGAGCAGAGGTCTTCACAACTGAACGGAGGGATGGAACATCCCCACAACCTGGGGAAACACAGAAATCAACACGTTAATGCAGCCAGTGCTGATCGATGCCCTCCGGCAAGCCAAGCCCACCCTCGTGTGTTGGGGATCTGCATGACCAACAGAAGTCTCAGGCCGGGCACGGTGGTTCACGCCTGTAATCCCAGCACTTTGGGAGGCCGAGGTGGATGGATCACCTGAGGTCAAGGAGTTCAAGACCAACCTAACATGGTAAAACCGTGTCTCTACTAAATATACAGAAGTTAGCTGGGCGTGGTGACAGGCACCTGTAATCCCAGCTACTCAGGAGGCTGGGGCAGGAGAATCGCTTGAACCCAGGAGGCGGAGGTTGCAGTGAGCCGAGATCGCGCCATTGCACTCCAGCCTGGGTGACAGAGTGAGACTCCGGTCTCAAAAAACAAACAAAACGTCTCCGCCCTCAGGGCTCATCTGCTAACAGGAAAATATGGAGGCGATGAGGGGTTCTGAAGGGCAAGGGGTACAGGGAATAACTGGGGGTTCTGGCTACAATGGTTGGAGGTGAGGGGGTGAAGAGACCGAGTCATAGAGCTCGGGGGGGAGTTCTCCAGGCAGAGAAATAGCTTGTGCAGAGGCCCTGAAGATACATGTGACTGACACGTAAAATAGAACATCCAGGCAGCGGGCATGAGTGAGACAGGGAGGATTGTCAAGATGAGGTCATAGGTAAGCAGTGGCCAGCTCACAGAAGACCCTGAAGCCATCGTCAATATAGGATTTTACCTGGATTGACATAGGGAAGCACTGAGGCTTTTGAGCAGAGAGGTTAAATAACTTCCATCTTTGAAGTTATTCTTTGAGACAGTCTTGCTCTCTCGCCAGGGCTGGAGTGCTGTGGCATGATCTCGGCTCACTGTAGCCTCTGCCTCCTGGATTCAAGCAGTTCTCGTGCCTCCAAGTAGATGAGATTATAGCTATGTGCCACCATGCCTGCCTGATTTTTGTGGTTTTAGAGAGACAGGGTTTCACCTGTCTCTTTAGTAGAGACAGGCTGGTCTACGAACTCCTGACCTTAGGTGATCCACCTGCCTCGGCCTCCCAAAGTGCTGGAATTACAGGCATGAGCCACTGCACCCTGCCACTTTATTTTTTGAAACACGGTCTCACTCGGTTGCCCAGGCTGGAGTGTGGTAACGCCATCTTGGCTCACTGCAGCCTTGACCTCCTGGGCCAACCAGCAACTCAAACTTTTTGCTCCTCTACACGTGTCAGTGAGTGATTAAAAAGGCGCCTTTGTTTTTTTTGTTTTTTTTTTTTTTTTGAGACAGGATCTCACTGTCACCCAGGCTGGAGTGAGGTGACGTGATCTCAATTCGCTGTAACTTCTTCCTCCCAGGCTCAAGTGATCCTCCCACCTCAGCCTCCTGAGTAACTGGGAGCAGAGGTACACAGCCATGCTCAGCGGATTTTTGTACTTTCAGTAGAGACAGGGCTTCATTGTGTTGGCCAGGCTGTTTTTAAATTCTTGGCCTCAAGCAATCTACCTGCCTTGGACTCCCAAAATGCCAGGATTACAGGCATGAGCCACCTTGCCCATCCCGAGTCAAATTCTTTTAAGATTGCCTCCCAGATAGGATTCCAGGTTCAAGTGCATCTGATTGTAGCTAACTCACAAGGTATTTGTAAGATAGCCAAGTTGAGACCACTCACCTGCTGATAGAGCCAGCATTTTCTGGCACGATATCTAATTCCTACCTCTTTTTTATTTTTTCCTGAGATGGAGTCTTGCTCTTGTAGCCCAGGATGGAGTGTAGTGACAGGATCTCAGCTCACTGCAACCTCTGCCTCCAGGGTTCAAGTGATTCTCCTGCCTCAGCCTCCCAAGTAGCTGGGATTAAAGGCACCTACTGGCTGGGCACGGTGGCTCTCACCTGAGGTCCGGAGGTCGAGACCAGCCTGACCAACATGGAGAAACCCCGTCTATACTAAAAATACAAAATTAGCCAGGCATGGTGGCACATGCCTGTTTATTTGCAGCTATGTGGGAGGCTAAGGCAGGAGAATCACTTGAACCCAGGAGGTGGAGGTTGCAGTGAGCTGAGATCGCGCCATTACACTACAGCCTGGGCAACAAGAGTGAAACTATCTCAAAAAAAAAAAAAAAAAAAAAAGAGGCACCCACTACTATGCTCGGCTAATTTTTATATTTTAGTAGAGATGGAGTTTCAAGTTGGCCAGGCTGGTCTTGAGCTCCTGACCTTAAGTGATCCGCCCGCTTCGGCCTCCCGAAGTGCTGGGATTACAGGTATGAGCCACTGTGCCTGGCCCAATTCCCACCTCTCTGAATGTGGGGTGCTGGGCAGTGGCTTTTGGCTGAATGGCTTGAGGCACTGTATCCTTAAAATTTCACAGGTGTTCTTTGCATGACACAGACTAGAACTTAGACATAGGGCCTGGCGCAGTGGCTCACGCCTGTAATCCCAGCACTTTGGGAGGCCGAGATGGGCGGATCACCTGAGGTCAGGAGTTTGAGATGAACCTTCAACATGGCGAAACCCTGTCTCTACTAAAAATACAAGAATTAGCTGGGCATGGTGGCGGGCGCCTGTAATCCCAGCTACTCGGGAAGCTGAAGCAAGAGAATTGCTTGAACCTGGGAGGCGGAGGTTGCAGTGAGCCAAGATCACGCCACTGCACTCCAGCCTATGTGACAAGAGCAAAACTTCAAGAAAAAAAAAAACAAAAACTTAGACATAGACTAGAACTTATTCCTTTAACCATCCTAGTAAATGCTCGATCGACTCTATAAAGGTCCTCTCAATTATATAACTTGGGAAGTCGGCTTCACTGATTATTTTACACTAGCCACAGATTCAGTAAGGTGTAAGTATAGGAAGTTGAACTTATAAGTTAACTCACCACAGACATCTCAAGTTGCACAGTGGTTTCCTCAAAGCCTCACACAGGAACTTCATTCCCTTAACTCCTATGTGATTCAGCCCCAGATCCAAACACAACAGGCTTGATTTTTCTTGGAGAAGCTTTGTGAGATCGCAGCAGCCATCGCTAGTTATGTCGCAGTTCCAAAGCCTAGAAATCAACCACAGGAAGAAAGCAAACCCGAACCTGTGAGTTCTCACTGCTGTGATGCACCTTTGACTCTTGAGCCGTGGGTTAGACACACTTAGAGACAGTGGTGACATGGAAATGGAATCATGGGGTGGTGTGGTGGACAGAAGAATGGCCTCCCCTAAAGATGTCCAAGTCCCAACTCCTGGCACCTGCGAGCAAAAGGGACCTCGTAGAGGTGACTGAGCATCTTAAGATGGTTTATATCCTGGTTTATTTGGGTAGGTCCAGCAATCACAGGGATCCTCATAAGAGGGAGCTGAGAGTCAAAGCCAGCAGGAGGTGACGTGATAAGGGAGCCAGGGCAACGTTTGAAGATGCTCTGCCGAAGTTGGAGGAAGGGCCACAAGCCAAGGAATGCAGGTGGCCAACAGAAGTTGGAGAAGTAAAAAGGATTCTCAGCTGGCACGGTGGCTCACTTCAACCTCCGCCTCCTGGTTTCACGCGATTCTTGTGCCCCAGCCTTCCGAGTAGCTGGGATTACAGGGGGGTGTGTGTGTGTACACACATGCGCGTGCCACCACACCCAGCTAAGTTTTGTATTTTTAGTAGAGACAGGGTTTCCCCATGTTGGCCAGGCTGGTCTTGAACTCCCGACCTCAGATGATCTGCCCACCCTGGCCTCCCTAACATGCTGGGATTACGATTGTATTTGCTAAATTCAGTTGCTAGAGAGGTAGTGTCTTACAGGCAGAAGACACCAGCTCACACTCCAACATATCTGGTACTAGGATCCTAGATATTAACCAACACAGATTATCAGAGATATTTCACCTTAGCTCTGTTTTCTTTCTTCTGTCTCAATAGAGTTCTAAACTTAATTATAATTTGAACTATAATGCCCATGTATCTCTGGGTCCCAAGTGAAGCATACCACTAGCTGAGGGACACAGGACCTGGAAGGGCCTTGGAAATAGATGGCAGATTGGAGTCCATGACGATGGAGAAGTGAAAACACACCCCCAAATCTTGAAACTTTATGAATGTATAGAAACTTTTTTTTTTTTTTTTTTGAGACAGTCTCGCTCTGACACCCAGGCTGGAGTACAGTGGCACAATCTCAGCTCACTGCAACTTCCGCCTCCCAGGTTCAAGCAATTCTCTGCCTCACCCTCCCAAGTAAGCTGGGATTACAGGCTCCGACACCACGCCTGGCTAATTTTTGTATTTTTAGTAAAGACAGGGTTTCACCATGTTGGCCAGGCTGGTCTTGAACTCCTGACCTCATGATCCACCTGCCTCGGCCTCTCAAAGACCCTACCCGGCCTTCTAGAAACTTCCATGACTGTAATGGAGGAAAACCCACATAAGACTAAAGGGAAGTTGACAACTTAGCAAAATAGGGGCATGGATCAAAAAGTTGAATTGAGGGGGCCGGCACGGTGGCTCACACCTGTAATCCCAGCACTTTGGGAGGCTGAGGTGGGTGGATCACCTGAGGTCAGGAATTCGAGACCAGCTTGACCAACATGGTGAAAACTCGTCTCTACTAAAAATAAAGAAGTTAGCTGGGCGTGGTGGCATGCACCTTAATCCCTGGGAGGCTGAGGCAGGAGAATCACACCTGAACTCAGGAGGTGGAGGTTGCAGTGAGCTGAGATGGAGCCACTGCATTCCAGCCTGGGCGACAGAGCAAGACTATCAAAAAAAAAAAACCAAAAAAAAAAAAAAAAGAAAACCCCCCCCCCCCCAAAAAAATACCACACACACCACACACCACACACACACACAACCAAAAAAACTAGACATTCATTTGAAGATACAGTTAGTGAGTCGGTGACATCTCACTGCTTGTGGGACTTCTTTTTTAATGTTTCAGGGCCTAGATATAGTGGGTGTGGGAAGAATCCTTTCCTTCTACTCATCGTCTCCAGCCATGAACTGAATATGTCATTAAATTTAAGTGGGTAGTTTTCAGATGCCAGGTACATATCCTAGATTAGTTACTTCATAGGAAGAGGACAGTTCCTAACTGTTGGAGGTGATGTTAGAGACAAAGAATACCAGAGATATGTATGGCTGGACGCAGTGGCTCATGCCTGTAAATCCTAGCACTTTGGAAGGCTGAGGCGGGCGGATCATGAGGTCAGTTCGAGACCAACCTGGCCAACATGGTGAAATCCCATCTCTACTAAAAATATAAAAATTAGCCCGGCGTGGTGGTGAGTGCCTGTAATCCCAGCTACTCAGGAGGCTGAGGCAGGAGAATCAACCTCCTTGAAGCCGGAGGTTGCAGTGAGCCTAGATCATGCCATTGCCAGCGTGGGCAAGAGTAAAACTCCATCTTAAAAAAAAAAAAAAAAAATACCAGAGATGTTAACATAAAATCGAATCTCTGAACAGAAACCATCAGTGCAGATACAATTTTTTTTTTTTTTTGAGACAATCTCGTTCTGTCACCCAGGCTGGCACGATCTCGGCTCACTGCAACCTCCCGACTTCAAGCGATTCTCCTGCCTCAGCCTCCCAAGTAGCTGGGATTACAGGACCATACCACCACGCCTAGCTAATTTTTGTATTTTTAGTAGAGACAGGGTTTCACTGCATCAGCCAGGCTGGTCTCAAACTCCTGACCTCAGGTGTTCTGCCCGCCTCCTAAAGTGCTGAGATTACAGGCATGAGCCACCATGCCAGGCCCCAATTCCTTTCTAAAGATTTGTCCTATAATTTTTTTTTTTTGAGAGAGTCTTGCTCTATTGGCCAGACTGGACTTCAGTGGTGCCATCTCAGCTCACTGCAACCTCCACCTCCGAAGTTCAAGTGATTCTCCTGCCTTAGCCTCCTGAGTAACTGGGATTACAGGCATGTCCCACCATGCGTGACTAATTTTTGTATTTTTAGTAGAGAGACAATGTTTCACCATGTTGGGCAGGCTGGTCTTGAACTCCTGCCCTCAAGGGATCTGCCTTGCTTCGGCCTCCCAAGGTGATGGGATTATAGGCGTGAGCCACTATGCCAGGCCACGTGTCCTGTGATTTTAGTATTAAAAGGAGGATCACATTGAGCATGTAGCTTCCAATAGCTTCCATTGGGAGTCTGAGCGTACACTGGCCCAGAAGACTACCTGATTTGCAAATCATTCATTAAAAAATAAGTAAATGAATTCCATTTACAACCAATTGCATGCAATTTATGTTACAGTTATAGTTCTAAGAACACAGATTAAGAGAAAACACAGCATGGGGTGACATGGCTCATGCCTGTAATTCTAGCACTTTGGGAGGCCAAGGCAGGCAGATCTCTTGAGCTCAGGAGTTTGAGACCAGCCTAGGCAACACGGCGAGATCCCATCTCTAAAATACATACATACATAAAGAGGAAAAAAAAAACCCGAAAACCAGCTACATTCCCCAAATCCCTATAGAATATTACTACTACTCTACTACTACTTATACTTTTTTCCTACCATCATCTACCCAGGTCTTACCAGTTGTCATTAGCATCATGCTTGGAACTTTTAGAGGAATTAAGTGTTCTCATAACCACCCTACTCAAACCCGGAGGTGGGGGGCGTGTGCATATACACCCACGCACACAGGCAGCCAGCACGGACTTACACCAAGGTCTGCAGTTTACACTCGGGGTACCTCAAGCCCTCACACAGAAACTTCACCCCTGTATTCCCAATGGGGTTCTTGGCCAAGCACAGGTGTGTCAGCTCCCGGCTGACAACCAACACAGCAGCAAGGTCCTTGCAATTGGCTTCTGTAAGGTGACAGTTTTCCAACCTACAAAAGAATCACAAATGGCAACACGGTTGACAGGTCCAACTTCAACCTTCCCGGCTAGCTCCACAAGTGCCAGCATCCAAAAGCCCCTTCTTGTGAACTCCCCACCTTCTATCATGCACTGGTGATCCTATGAAGGAATAGGAATGAGAGAAGAACAAAATTCACAGGCCATCGGCCTGGATCTAAACATGGGAACAGGTGTTCACATCAGCGAGAGGTTCCATACAGCCAAGTCAGGCATGACCATTGCTCGTCTGTGGCCCCAGATCGAAAGCACAGCTGCTCTGTAAGAGAGGAGAGACTTACGACAACCTCTGCAGAAAGCACTTGGGGTGTCTCAAAGTTGTGTACAGCAACTTAGCACCCTCATCCAGAAGCTCATTGTCGGAGAGGTTTACGCACGTCAGGGACTGGTTGACTTCAAGGGCCAAGGAGAGATCAGCCCACTGCTGAGTGGTAGCGGAACAAGACACCAACCTGTGGGAGAAATAGGACCACGTCATTTTTTTTTTTTTTTTGAGACTGAGTCTCACTCTTGTTGCCCAGGTGGCGCAATCTCGGCTCACAGCAACCTCCGCCTCCTGGGTTCAAGTGATTCTCCTGCCTCAGCCTCCCGAGTAGCTGGGACTGCAGGCATGCACCATGCACCAACATGCCCAGCTAATTTTGTATTTTCAGTAGAGGTGGGGGTCTCTCCATGTTGGTCAGGCTGGTCTCAAACTCCCAATCTCAGGTGATCTGCCCACCTCGGCCTCCCAGAGTGCTGGGATGACAGGCGTGAGCCACCGCGCCCGGCAGAACAAGTCATTCTTGAGAATCTAACCGTGGAATCGTCTTTGGTTTACATCTCACTGGTTGTGTTATACCCCGACTTGAATTATCTGGAGCAGCAGTTGTCAAAGGGTGGTCAGACCAGTGGCACCAACATCGCCCAGGAATCAGCTGGAAATACAGAACTTAGTCAATCTGACTCTAATGTTGGATGCAGACTCCGCTAACCTATGTTTCATTGTTTGGTTTTTTGAAAGGGAGTTATTTATGCTCTGTCGCCCTGGCTGGAGTGTAGTGGCGCGATCTCAGCTCACAGCAACCTCTGCCTCCCAGATTCAAGAGATTCTCCCGCCTCAGCCTCCTGAGTAGCTGGGATTACAGGCAAATGCCATCTTGCCTGGCTAATTTTTGTATTTTTTAGTAGAGATGGGGTTTTACCATGTTGGCCAGGCTGGTCTCAAACTCCTAACTTTGGCCGGGGCAATGGCTCATGCCTGTAATCCCAGCACTTTGGGAGGCCGAGGTGGGCAGATCAGGAGGTCAGGAGTTTGAGACCATCCTGGCCAACATGGTGAAACCCCGGCTCTACTAAACATACAAAAGTTAGATGGGCGTGGCGACACGTGCCTGTAGTCCCAGCTACTCAGGAGGCTGAGGCAAGAGAATCACTTGAACCCAGGAGGCGGAGGTTGCAGTAAGCCGAGATCACTCCACTGCACTCTAGCCTGGGCGACAGAGCAAGACTCCGTCTCAAAACAAAAAACTCCTGACTTCAAGCGATACACCAGCCTAGGCCTCCCAAAGTACTGGGATTACAGGCAGGAGCCACCATACCCAGCCCACTAACCTATGTTTCAAGGTGCCCTGTTCATCCGGAAAATGTGTTAGAATAAATTCATAAGAAATGAGTGGCTGGGCACAGTGGCTCATGCCTGTAATCCCAGGACTTTGGCAGGCCAAGGCAGGTGGATCATGAGGCCAGGAGTTTAAGACCAGCCGGAACAACATGATGAAACCCCATTTCTCCTAAAAATACAAGAATTAGCTGGGCGTGGTGGCACATGGCTGTAATCCCAGCATTTTGGAAGATGGATGTCACTTGAGGTCAGGAGTTCGAGACCAGCCCAGCCAACACGGTGAAACCCCGGCTCTACTAAATATACCAAAAATTAGCTGGGTGTGGTGGATTGCCCGAGGTCAGGAGTTTGAGACCACCCTGGCCACCAGCATGGCGTAACCCTGTCTCTACTAGAAATACAAAATACTAGAAATACAAAAATACAGGTGGGTGCCTGTAATCCCAGCTACTTGGGAGGTTGACGGAGAAGAATCACTTGAACCCGGGAGGCAGAGGTTGCAGTGAACCAAGATTGTGGCACTGCACTCCAGCCTAGGAGACAGAGCAAGACTATATCTTGAGAAAAAAAGAAAGAAATTAGTGACCCAAATCTTTAATTCACCCAATATTCCCCCTCACCCTGCATCCCATTATTCTCAGGCAAAAAGAAAAGAGGGTAATTGCAACGGTTAGTAATGATAGCAGCCACTATTGAATGCATGGGCTTGGTTTCATTCAACCTTCCAATACCTGTAAGATGTACAGCATCCTATTCAACTAAGATCCCATTAAGCAGCCTAAGATTGTATCAGTAGAGCCAGAGCAATCAATTTTTTTTCTGTCCTCGAGATGGAGTTTTGCTCTGTTGCCCAGGCTGGAGTGCAATGGCGTGATCTTGGCTCACTGCTACCTCTGCCTCCTAGGTTCAAGCAATTCTCTTGCATCAGCCTCCATGAGTAGCTGGGATTACAGGCACGCGCCACCATGCCCAGCTAATGTTTTTGTATTTTTAGTAGACGTGGGGTTTCACCATGTTGGCCAGGCTGGTCTTGAACTCCTGACCTTGTGATCCACCTGCCTTGGCCTCCCAAAGTGCTGGGATTACAGGCATGAGCTACCGCACCCAGCCAAGATTTTTTTTTTTTTTTTTGAGACAGTCTCACACTGTTGCCCAGACTGGAGTGCGGTGGTGTGATCTCAGCTCACTGCAACCTCCGCCTCTCAGGTTCAAATGATGCTCCTGCCTCAGCCTCCTGAGTAGCTGGGACTACAGGCGTGCGCCAACATGCCCAGCTAATTTTTGTATTATTAGTAGAGACAGAGTTTCACCATGTTGACCAGGCCGGTCTTGAACTCCTGACCTCAAGTGATCCACCCACCTCGGCCTCCCAGGCGTGAGCCACTGCGCCTGGCCCAGGGCAATAATTTGAGGCCAATGACCACCTACTACACCAGTGTGGCCAAGTGAGGCTTCATGGAACCCCATGATGCATGTAGGTTCTCATCGCCTGGGCAGCCACTGGACAGCTTCCCAAGGGGAGAGCTCTCAAACCAGAGGACTAACAGAAAAGGGGCAACTTGATGTTCCTGAAGGGTTCTTGCTTGAAAAATGTCAATAGCTGGTATTCTGAATCATCATACAGGAGAAGCATGAACCATGAGTGAATGATCTCTGATAGAAGATAAAGATTCTGGGCTGGGCACGGTGGCTCATGCCTCACTTTGGGAGGCCGACGGCGGGGTGGGGTGGGGGTGGGGGGGTAGATCACCTGAGGTCATGAGTTCGAGACCAGCCTGGCCAATGTGGTAAAACTCCATCTCTACTAATAATACAAAAATTAACCAGGTGTGGTGGTGTGCACCTGTAATCCCAGCTACTCAGGAGGCTGAGGCAGGAGAATCACTTGAACCTGGGAGGTGGAGGCTGCAGTGACCTGAGATCATACCAACGCACTCCAGCCTGGGTGACAGAGCGAGACTCCATCTCAAAAAGAAAAAAGAAAAAGAAAAAACCAAAACCAAAACCAAAACATAAGGACTCTGGCTGGGCATGGTGGCTCATGCCTATAATCCCAGCACTTTGGGAGCCTGAGGAGGGCAGGTCACCTGAGGTCATGAGTTCGAGACCAGCCTGGCAATGTGGCGAAACCAGCTCCACTAAATGCACAAAAATTAGCCGGGCGTGGTGGCGGGTGCCTGTAATCCCAGCAACTTGGGAGGCTGAGGCAGCAGAATTACTTGAACCCAGGAGACAGAGGTTGCAGTGAGCCAAGATCGTGCCATTGCACTTTGGCCTGGGCAACAGAGCAAGACTTCATAAAAAAAAAAAAAAAGATGATAAAGATTCTGGGAGTTTCTTTGGATTCAGGGTCCTCACGTATGGTTGTCCAGGGTGTTTACTGTTCAAGGCAAGTAGAAACTCAAGTTCAGCCCATGCTGCATCCTGGGTCATCTGCCCTTAGTACTGTTTCTAGTCAGAATAACGAACTTTTTCTTATTTACACAAAATTGCCACATAAGCTTGTGGTAGCTTATGTTTGTATGATGAAGGATTTTAATGATTAAGAGATATACCCGAGATATCGCAGGTTACATTCTGGATGTCTCAAGACCTCACACAATGCGGGAAACATATCATCCTGGTCATTGCCTTGAAGGGTCAGATACGTTACAGTCTTGTGACCTCGAAGAGCTAGGCAGAGGTTCCGATGAGCATCAGCTGGGGAAATGTTTTTGAACCTAGGGAAAAGAGAACGAAAGTGAAATCTTTAGTGTGTACACCTGTATCGTACTTAAATGGAAACCAGGGGCTCGATATATTTAAACTTTAGGAACTATTTTTTCCATGTTTAAATTTTTGTCCATCTTTACAGATTTTTTTTTTCTTTGAGATGGAGTCTCACTCTGTTGCCCAGGCTGGAGTGCAGTGGCGCGATCTCGGCTCACTGCAAAGCAAACTCTGCCTCCCGGATTCAAGCGACTCCTACCCTCAGCATCCGGAGTAGCTGGGATTATAGGCACCTGCCACGACACCTGGCAAATTTTTGTATTTTTCGTAGAGACAGGGTCTTGCACCATCTTGGCCAGGCTGGTCTTGAACTCCTGACCTCAAGTGATCCCCCCACCTTGGGCCCCCAAAGTGCTGGGACTACAGGCGTGAGCCATTGTGCCCGGCCCTTTTTTTCTTTTTCTTTTTTTTTTTTTTTTTTTTTGAGACGCAGTCTCGCTCTGTCACTCAGACTGGAGTCCAGTGGCAGGATCTTGGTTCACTGCAACCTCCGCCTCCTGGGTTCAAGTAATTCTCCTGCCTCAGCCTCCCAAGTAGCTGATATTACAGGTGCCTGCCACCACGCCTGGATAATTTTTGTATTTTTAGTAGAGGCAGGGTTTTGTCACGTTGGCCAGGCTGGTCTCGAACTCCTGACCTCAAGTGATCTGTCTGCCTCGGCCTCCCGAAGTGTTGGAATTACAAGTGTGAACCACCATGCCCAGCCCCTAGAAATTACTTTATACGATTATCCCACAAAATAAATTTAAGGACAGGACTCTCTCAATTCCCTGTGTCTCGAGCACTTAAGAGTCTAGTACAGGAATCTGAATATTGCTCCGATGTTAACATTGTACCATTTTCATACCCTAAGGATTTGAGTTCATGAATTAGTTTCTACTTACACCACTCTCTGGAGATGACAGGTGTCAGAGGCTATTTGTTCACACAGGATCCTTACTAGGGAGGCACTGAGAAAGCTATCATTGATTGCTAGACCCATCAGATCCTTATTTGATCCAAATATGGAACAAAGGTCCGTCCAGAAAGGAAGCATGTGCTGATCATCCTGGGATCTATAGGGAAGAGAAGAAAGGGTTACACCAAATGTGTGTCCATCACGGCTGAAGTATTTAGGGTTTCTCTGGGCATATACCCCTGACAAATGAGTACAATTGAAAGCTGGACCATGTAATCACTTATTAGCACCACCATCAGACAACTCAACACCCAAGAAGCATCACAGGAGAAAGAACCTATTCTTCTTAGACAAAAATCCAATAGAGGGTAAAAATAAGTTAAAATGCTAAGCACATCATTGATAAAAGATAGAGAATATAGACCGGGCACGGTGACTCACGCCTATAATCCTAGCACTTTGTGAGGCTGAGGCGGGTGGATCACCTGAGGTCGGGAGTTCGAGACCTGCCTGGCCAACATGGTGAAACCCCGTCTCTACTAAAAGTACAAAAATTAGCTGGGCATGGTCGTGGGTGGCTGTAATCCCAGCTACTCATGAGGCTGAGGCAGGAGAATCATTGAACCTGGTGGGGCGGAGGTTGCAGTGAGCCGAGATCGAGCCACTTCACTCCGACCTGGGAAAAAGAGTGAAACTCCGTCTCAAAAAAAAAAAAAAAGATTGGGAATATACATATCTATACATATCAATAAGAAATATTCAGGCAGGGCGTGTGGTAACTCATGCCTGTAATCTCAGTGCTTTGGGAGTTCAAGACCAGCCTGGACAACATAGTGAGATTTTGTCTTTCCAAAAAAAAAAAAAAAAAAAAAAACACAAAAAAAAACCCCCACTTAAGTTAGCTGGACATGATGGTGCACACTTAATACCTGTCATCCCAGGTACTCAGGAACATCACTTGAACCCAGAAGTTTGAGGATGCAGTGAGCTGATTTCACCACTGTACTCCAGCCTGAGCAACACAGCAAGACCCTGTCTTAAAAAAATATATTTGGGCCGGGCATGGTGAATCATGCCTGTAATCCCACTTTGGAGGCTGAGGCAGGTGGATCACCTGAGGTCAGGCGGAGTTCAAGACCAGACTGGCCAACATGCTGAGATCCCGTCTCTAATGAAAATATAAAAATTAGCCGGGCAAGGTGGCAGGCGCCTGTAGTCCCAGCTACTCAGGAGGCTGAGGCAGAAGAATCACTTGAACCCGGGAGGCGGAGGTTGCAGGGAGCCAAGATCGCGCCACTGCGCTCCAGCCTGAGCGACAGAGCAAGACTCCATCTCAAAACAAAAACAAACAAAGAGTCCAACAAGAGGGAATTCCTGACCCTAAGCCACAGTGCATAGGAGGCTCTGGCCTCTTCCTAAGGGGGCATGGGATGAGGCTAAAGATGGAACGACTGGTAGAGTGAAACGGTTCTCACCTCTCAACCTCGGCGTCTGATTCAGACGCAGTGACATTCTCCGGGAGATTCTCCTTTATTACCTGCAGTGACATTTTCTGCAGGTTTCGACAGTGCTTGACGCAGAATGAAGATGGCACAACGTCTACTGCATTTAAGTGCAGGGATATTTCTTTGAACTGAGCCATCACCTCCTTCACCAGCTCCTCCTCCTGAGACTCGTACAGACAGCCGAGGAGCTCCTGCAGGTCTGTCACCGTTGAATGTCCACCCTTACAACTTATGTCGCATCGCAGCAATTCCTGTTTGATGTCCGGTGACATCCGGCAGCCAAAAGTGGCCTCCAACTCCTTGGCTCTCTTCTCGTTAGCGAGGCCAAAGGAGTAGTAGCCTGCTTGGATCAGGTCGGGGTTCCTGAGTCTTTCTACTCCGGAAAGCAGCTTCTGTACGTCCCCAATGTCCCAGGTGTGGCCGTCCCTATCCTCTTCCTCCTCCTTCTCCAGGGTGTAGAACAGGGCAGTGAGAAACTGCTGGAAGCTGAGGTGGATGAAGGAGTAGCAGCCTTTGGAGACTCTGTCCTGGCGGAGGATGTCTCCGTCCAGGAACAGACGGAGGTCGGACTCCTGCACCCCGAGCCTTTCCAGATCCTCTCGGTGAAGCACGGACGTCTGCGCCCACAGGCCCTGCGCGGCCAGGAGGCTCAGCGTCCGCAGCGCGCCCCGCAGCTGTGCGCCCTGCGGGAACCGGCTGCAGAGGAAACGCAGGAACAGCCCCGTGCGGGTGAGGCAGGTGGGGACCGGGTCCTCCCCCTTCTCCATCTGCAGCTTCAGAGTCGTGCACACGATCCAGCACACCGCGGGGGCCGAGCCCAGCTGGAACAGGGCCGCGTTGCTCCTCATTAGCTCAAAGGCACGCATGGCTTGGTCCTCGTCTCCAAAGTGTCTCAGGAAATAGGCCCTCCTGTCCTCCTCCAGGAAGCCCTCCACCCTTATGTAGATCGGCTCCTCCGCCAGGATCCGGAGGTCCCTCAGGGCCCTGGGCCGCGTGGTGACCAGCAGGGCGGCCTTGGGTAACATCACCCTGTTCAGCAAACTCCCCAGGAGGACGGGCACCGGCTTCTTCTTCTCCCAGTCCCCGCAGATGTCCTCGATCAGCGCCCCAGGTGCGGCTCCCAGCTCATCAAAGCCGTCAATCACGAACAAGATTTTCCGTGCTTGGGCTAGGATGTGTGGAATGTCATCCTGCAATTCAGGCCAGTCCCTGAAGACCAGCTCTGCAAAACTGCACGGGCCCAGGCGGCTGAGCTCCCTGCAGCTGAGGTAGAACGCATATTTGAATTTGTGGATGAGGTTGTCCTCTGCCCAGTCTAGCATTAGTTTCTGGGCCAGCGTGGTTTTCCCAAGGCCTGCAGGACCATACAGCACCACCGTGTATGAGAAGGGCCCGGGAAGCACCCTGGGGTTGCTGAATGGGATCAGCATCTTGTATCTCTCAGCCATAACCTGGACCTCTTTGCTATCTCCAGGCCAGCTCTTCCACATCTCCCGGAACTTCGTCTTCAATATATACCTGCACCTATTGTCTTTGTCTTTATCATTGGTGAGGAGGGAAGGGAGAGAGGATGCAATCAGTTACCCATAGGGAAAACCAAAATAACAAAATGCCTTGTGTTGGCCGGGCACAGTGGCTCATGCCTGTAATCCCAGCCCTTTGGGAGGTCGAGGCAGGCAGATCACCTGACATTGGGAGTTCAACACCAGCCTGACCAACATGAAGAAACCTTGTCTCTACTAAAAATAAAAAATTAGCCAGTCATGGTGGCGCATGCCTGTAATCCCAGCTACTCGGGAGGCTGAGGCAGGAGAATTGCTTGAACCTGGGAGGCGGAGGTTGCAGTGAGTCGAGATCACGCCACGGCACTCCAGCCTGGGCAACAAGAGCAAAACTCCGTCTCGATACATACATACATAAATAAATGCTTTGTGTTACATAGGAAAGTTAAGAGGACTTCAAGTTTATAAAGAGAAATCTGATCCCAAGCTCCCTGCAGGAAGATATGGTACAGACCTGGCTTTTTTCCTTTAAAGACTTCTTTACCCAGGCAGATGACATTTCCTTTCGTTTCTGTAAACGCTACAAAATACAAACTCATGTGAGATTGACACAAAATCAGGTGTATTTCCTGTGGAGTCCCAATTAGAGAAAAGGAGGCAGGCTGATGGGGCGGGGGGGAGGGGGGGCACGGGATCAGATAAAGCAAATAAGCTACAAATGTGTTTTCCGGCCAGGTGTGGTGGCTCATGCCTATAATCCCAGAACTTTGGGAGGCTGAGGTGGGGTGGATCACTTGAGCTCAGGAGTTCGAGACCAGCCTGGCCAACACAGAAACCCCATCTCTACTAAAAATGCAAAAATTAGCCAGGCGTGGTGGCGCATGCCTGTAATCTCAGCTACTTGGGAGGCCAAGAGGCTCGAGAATTGCTTGAACCTGGGAGATGGAGGTTGTAGTAAGAGATCGCACTACTGCACTCCACCCTGGGCAACAGAGCAAGACTCCATCTCAATAAAATAAATAAATAAGCTTTCCTCCATGGTTCAGGGCATACAAACAAGAGGAAACAGGTCAGCTATAGGTCTGTTTGAGACAGTCTCACTCTGTTGCCCAGGCTGGAGTGCAGTGGCGCAATCTCAGCTCACTGCAACCTCCGCCTCCCGGGTTCAAGCGATTCTCCTGCCTCAGCTTCCCAAGTAACTGGAATTACAGGCATGTGCCACTGCGTCTAGGCTAATTTTTGTATTTTTAGTAGAGATGGGGTTTCGCCATGTTGGCCAGGCCAGTCTAAAACTGCTGACCTCAGATGATCCACCCACCTCAGCCTCCCAAAGTGCTGGGATTGCAGGCATGAACCACTGCACTGGGCCAGGTCTGCTTTTATGGTCCAGGAGATACGGCCCAAGATGTTTGGCCTTCCTGGCCAGATCACACACAGAGCTCACAAACTCCCTGTTTGCCATGAAACGCCTCAGTTTATCAAACACTTCTGCTGAAAGAAGACCGCAAGTTAAACCCCCTGTTGACATTATCAATCAGCCCAAGCCCTATTCTATAAAATCTGCAGGAAGCTTTGGTCTCCTGGCAGTGAGCTACTCATGACAACCTGCCCGCTGGGGTCTCTCTGCCAATGTCTTTTCCTACTTTCTCCAATAAATCTGCCTTCCTTTACCTACGATTGTCTTCATAAATTTCTTTACCCGCGGCTGGGCGCGGTGGCTCACGCCTGTAATCCCAGCACTTTGGGAGGCCAAGGCGGGTGGATCATAAGGTCAGGAGATCGAGACCATCCTGGCTAACACGGTGAAACCCTGTCTCTACTACAAATACAAAAAATTAGCCGGGCGTGTGGCGGGCGCCTGTAGTCCCAGCTACTGGGGAGGCTGAGGCAGAATGGCGTGAACCCGGGAGATGGAGCTTGCAGTGAGCCGAGATTGCGCCACTGCACTCCAGCTTGGGTGACAGAGCAAGACTGTCTCAAAAAAAAAAACAAAACAAAACATTTCTTTACCTGCCATGCCACCAGGCACTATTCACCCACATTTCCTGCTGAAGCATGATGATAGAGCAGGCACCACAGTACCCCAAGTCGCACCGAAATTCTTTGTCAAGATTGTGTGCTAGGCTGGGCACAGTGGCTCACGCCTGTCATCCCAGCACTTTGGGAGGCTGAGGCGGACGGATCACGAGGTTAGGAGATCCAGACCATCCTGACTAACACGGTGAAACCCTGTCTCTACTAAAATACAAAAAATTAGCTGGGCGTGGTGGCACACACCTGTACTCCCAGCTATTTGGGAGGCTGAGGCAGGAGAATCGCTTGAACCTGGGTAGCAGAGGTTGCAGTGGGCCAAGATTGCACCACTGCACTCCAGTCTGGGCAACAGAGTGAGACTCCATCTCAAGAAAAAAAAAGATTGTGTGCCAGGAATGACATTGGCCGTGTCTAGAGAGATGAACAGGGCAAACAATTCCTTCAACCAAGTTACTCACCTCTATTATACAGAGCCATAGCAAGAAATACTTGCTGTATCAAAAGTCAATGTGGGCTAGGTACGGTGGCTCATGCCTGTAATCCCAGCACTTTGGGAGGCCGAAGTGGGTGGATCACCTGAGGTCAGGAGTTCAAGACCAGCCTGCCCAACATGGTGAAACCCTGTCTACTAAAAATAAAACTAACAAATGCAAAAATTAGCCAGATGTGGTGGTGGGCGCCTATGATCCCAGCTACTCGGGAGGCTGAGGCAGAATCACTTGAACCTGGGAGGTGGAGGTTGTGGCGAGCCGAGATCACACCATTGCACTCTAGCCTGGGCGACAAGGGCAAAACTCTTTCTCAAGAAAAAACAAAAATGCTACCAGGAAGATAAGAGGGAATGTGGAGTAAGCAAGGCTGATCTGAAACTGATCACAGGCTAGGTGCGGTGGTTCACAGCTGTAATCCCAGCACTTTAGGAGACCGAGGTAGGTGGATCACTTGAGGTCAGGAGTTCTAGACCAACCTGGCTACCCTGTTGAAACCCCATCTGTACTAAAAACACAAAAGTTAGCCAGGCATAGTGGTGGGCACCTATAGTCCCAGCACCTGGGGAGGCTGTGGCAGGAAGACCCCTTGAACCCAGGAGGCAGAGATTGCAGTGAGCCAAGATGGGGCCACTGCACTCCAGCCTGCATGACAGAGTGAGACTCTATTTCAAAAACAAAAAAAACAGAAAAAACCTATCACAAAGTCAGCTCAGGCAAGTCACCTACCCAAAAGACTCAATTTTCTCTGTAAGTTGTTTATATTAAAGTTGTCTGAGCAATGTACCATAAATACATTTATGCCTGTCAATTTTTTTTTTTTTTTTTTAAGATGGAGTCTCGCACTGTTGCCAGGCTGGAGTGCAGTGGCACAATCTTGGCTCACTGCAACCTCCACCTCCCGGGTTCAAGCGATTCTCCTGCCTCAGCCTCCTGAGTAGCTGGGACTACAGGCGGGTGCCACCACACCCGGCTAATTTTTGTGTTTTTAGTAGAGTTGGGTTTCACCATGTTGGCCAGGATGGTCTCGATCTCTTGATCCACCCGCCTCAGCCTCCCAAAGTGCTGGGAGATTATAGGTGAGAGCCACCACACCTGGCCACCTGTCAACTTTTAAATAATTTAAAGAAGGCCGGGTACGGTGGCTCTCGCCTGTAATCCCAGCACTTCGGGAGACTTGGGGGTGGGTGGAGCAGATCTCTTGAGGTCAGGAGTTTGAGACCACCCTGAATGAGATGGTGAAACCTGTCTCTACTAAAAGTACAAAAAAAAATTAGCTGGGCGTGGTGGCATGCACCTGTAGTCCCAGCTACTCAGGAGGCTGAGACAGGACAATCACTTGAATCTGGGAGGCGGAGGTTGCAGTGAACAGGGATGGTGCCACTATACTCCAGCCTGGGTGACAAGAACAAGACTTCGTCTCAAAAAAAAAAAAAAAAATTAGCTGGGTGTGGTGGCAGGTGCCTATAATCCCAGCTACTCAGGAGGCTGAGTCAGGAGAATCAGGAGAATCGCTTGAACCTGGGAGGTGGAGGTTACAGTGAGCCGAGATCGCGCCATTGCATTCCAACCTGGCCAACAGAGAAACTGTCTCAAAACAAAAACAAAAACAAAAACTCTCTGCGCTGTGCTCCTAACTTTCTACAAACTGAGTTCTAATTCTCTGCAACGTTCGTTCTTCCCTCTATTCTTACGGAAGGGAGGTTGGCATTCTCCAGGAGACAGTGGGCACATTAAGAATAGTGGAGGAAAAGATTGGAGAGAGATGGGGTTCTTCAAAGGAACAGGAGATAGCAGCAAGAACGGGGGGCTTCCTCAGCTGACTCCAACATTGGAGGTCCTGACACCCACCTTGTGCTTCTGTTTTGAAGCGCTCCAGCATTTCGTCCACGTCTAGAGGTGGTCGTTCTTTCCGTGTTATCCCTGGAGAAAAAGGGCGGCATTACAGGCCTGTTGCTGTGCTGGCAGTGGGACTCCAAGATGGCTCAAGTTGGACCCCTGAGTCTCAGTAGTGAAGCCTAGATTAGGTACTAAAAAGGACGTTGATAAGGTACTGGATGTAAAAGTGAAAGTACATTAGGCCATGATCCCAGGTTTATGTGCCTTTCTGGTGAGAATTCCTAAGTAGTTCAGAACACATGGTGTGAAAGACACACACACACACACACACACACACACACACACACAAACTACTCACGCATAAGGCCACTGGAAAGGCTTTGAGGATTAACTGCCTAGTTTTTCTTTTTTTTTGAGATGTAGTTTTGCTCTTGTTGCCCAGGCTGGAATGCAATGGTGTGATGTCGGCTCACTGCAACCTCCGCCTCCTGGGTTCAAGTGATTCTCCTGCCTCGGCCTCCGGAGTAGCTGGGATTACAGGAATGTGCCACCATACCTGGCTAATTTTGTATTTTTAGTACAGACAGGGTTTCTCTACGTTGGTCAGGCTGGTCTCGAACTCCCAACCTCAGGTGATCTGCCTGCCAGGCCTAACCCCCTAGTTTCTGATGAGGTAGATAAATTTAAAATGAACTGGGAAAGAATGTAAGAACAAGGTGGAATCAGCCGGGCATGGTGGCTCATGCCTGTAACCCAACACTTTGGGAGGCCAAGGCAGGCGGATCATGAGGTCAGGAGATCGAGACCATCCCGGCCAACATGGTGAAGCCCCGTCTCTACTAAAACAAAAAATTAGCCGGGCATGGTGGTGTGTTACCTGTAAGTCCCAGCTACTTGCGAGGCTGAGGCAAGGGAATTGCTTGAACCCAGGAGGCGGAGATTGCAGTGAGCCAAGATCGCTCCACTGCACTTCAGCCTGGCAAAAGAGCAAGCGAGACTCCGTATCAAAAAAAAAAAAAAAAAGAGAGAGAACAAGGTGGAATCCTAATAACAATATCTGCAGCTTAACCCTGGATAATGAAGAGGTGAGTCCATGGAACTCCTGAAAAGATGCTGGGGAGGGAACTGGACACGGGCATGTGAAATTCAGGACAAAGGCTGATCTGAGAAGAGCCTTTAGAGTCTTCACCACCAGGTGAGGTGGCTCATGCCTGTAATCCCAGTACTTTGTGAGGCTGAGGCAGACAGTTCATTTGAGGTCAGCAGTTTGAGACCAGCCTGGCCAACATGGTGAAACCCTGTCTCTACTAAAAATACAAAAATTAGCCAGACGTGGTGGTAGGCGCCTGTAATCCCAGCTACTTGGGAGGCTAAGGCAGGAGAATCACTTGAACCTGGGAGGCGGAGGCTGCAGTGAGATTGTACCACTGCACTCCAGCCTGGGTGACAGAGCAAGACTCTGTCTCAAAAAAGGTCTTCATGAGACCAGGCGCAGTGACTCACACCTGTAATCCCAACACTTTGGGAGGCTGAGGCACGTGGATCACGAGGTCAGGAGTTCAAGACCAGCCTGGCCAACATGGTGAAACCCCATCTCTACTAAAATTACAAAAATTAGCTGGGCTTGGTGGCAGACACCTATAATCCCAGCTACTCGGGAGGCTGAGGCAAGAGAATCACTTGAACCGGGAGGCGGAGGTCAGAGGTTGCAGTGAGCTGAGATCATGCCACTGCATTCCATCCTGGGCAACAGAGTGAGACTTTGTCCAAAAAAAAAAAGTCTTCATGGCCAGGTGTGGTGAATCATGTCTGTAATCCCAGCACTTTGGGAGGCCAAGGTGGGAGGATCACTTGAGACCAGGAGTTTGACACCATATCTGGCAACATAGTGAAACTGTCCCTACCAAAAATACAAATATTAGTCAGGTGTGGCAGTGCACACCTGTAGTCCCAGCTACTCAGGAGGCTGAGGTAAGAGGATCTCTGGAGCCTGGAAGGTTGAGGCTGCAATGAGCTATGACTGTGCCACTGCAATCAAGCCGGAGCAACACAGCAAGACCCCATCTCAAAACACAATCTTCAGGGGCCGGGCGCGGTGGCTCACGCCTGTAATCCCAGCACTTTGGGAGGCCGAGGCGGGCGGATCACAAGGTCAGGAGATCGAGACCATCCTGGCTAACACGGTGAAACCCCGTCTCTACTAAAAACACAAAAAAATTAGCCAGGCGTGGTGGTGGGCGCCTGTAGTCCCAGCTACTCGGGAGGCTGAGGCAGGAGAATGGCATGAACCCGGGAGGCGGAGCTTGCAGTGAGCCGAGATCACGCCACTGCACTCCAGCCTGGGCAACAGAGAGAGACTCTATCTCAAAAAAAAAAAAAATAATAATAATCTTCAGGATATAAGTAGCTGGTAAGGGCCAGGTGTCATGGCTCACACCTGTACCCCAGCAGTTTGGGAGGGTGAGGCAGGAGGACTGATTGAGTTTAGTAATTCGAGGCCAGCCTGGGCAACATAGCAAGACCCTGTCTCTACAAAAAGTGAAAAAAATTAGCCAGGCATGGTGGCAAGTGCCTGTGGTCCCAGCTACTCAGGAGGCTGAGGCAGGAGGATCACCAGAGCTTGGGAGGTCAAGGCTGCAGTGAACCATGATTGCACCACTCCAGCCTAAGTGACAGAGTGAAGCCCTGTTTCAAAAAAAAAAAAAAAAAAAAAAAAAAAAAAAAAAAAACAAAACCGGGTGTGGTGGTGGCTCATGCCCATAATCCCAGCATTTTGGGACGCTGAGGTGGGCAGATCACTTGAGGTCAGGAGTTCAAGACCAGCCTGGCCATCATGGTGAAACCCCATCTCTACAAACACCACAAAAAATTAGCCGGGCCTGGTGGCAGGTACCTGTAATCCCAGCTATTCTAGAGGCTGAGGCAGGAGAACTGCTTGAACCCAGGAGGTAGAGGTTGCAGTCAGCCGAGGTCGTACCACTGCACTTCAGCCTAGGTGACAGAGCAAGCCTCCATCTCAAAAAAGAAAAGTCTCTACCTTATCCAGATTCAAAGGCCAAGCTTACCCTTCCCCGCTTTGTATGTATTTATAGATTTCCAACAAACGCGATCGTGTTTCAGCTTCCCAGGTCTTACTGCTACGCACCTGCGAGACCAGCTCCGCCCTGGGAGCAGGGATGCTAAGTCCGGCATTTCTTTGCATTCTTAGTGCTCAGCACATTCTCCTTAAAACAAAGGCCCGAGTCCCCAGATCTCACATGAAGAATAAAAGTTATAAATGAGGTAACTTACCTAATGATAGAGGCTTCCTTTTATTAAAGGATTTCAAAGCTGCTTCTGAAAAAGGAGAAGGGGGGAAAATTTTGCATTTTACCATAAGCTCAAGATTTTATTGCCTTCATAAAAGAAAAGATGACACTTAGAACTGGATCACTTGTTCCTTTCTCTTATCTCCTTCCAGTTCAAAATGCTTGCATCTTTTTTTTTTGAGACAGAGTGTCACTCTGTTGCCCAGGCTGGAGTGGCACAATCTTGGCTCACTGCAACCTCTGCCTCCCAGGTTCAAGCGATTCTCCTGCCTCAGCTTCCTGAGTAGCTGGGACTATAGGCATACACCACCATGCCCAGCTAAGTTTTGTATTTTTAGTAGAGATGGGGTTTCACCATTTTGGCCAGGCTGGTCTCAGACTCCTGACCTTGTGATCCGCCCACCTCGGCCTCCCAAAGTGTTGGGATTACAGGCGTGAGCCACCGCGCTTGGCTGCTTGTATCTTTTAATAGCCAGCATTCTTAGATCTGCAGTTGGGCTCAAGGCACTCAAGCCTTAGCACAATCTTCTTTGTAGTTTTAGCCTTTTTCCGGAAAATCGGCTTAGTCTGCCCACCATAGCCACTCTGCTTCCTGTCATAACACTACTTCCCCTGGGCATACCAAGAATCCTTGCCTTGTGTCACTTTGTGGGGGTGGTGCTTGCCACACTTCTTACAGAAAGTCCGGCGGGTTTCAGGAACATTCACCATGTCTGTGTGAGCGCTATTGGCATGGAAAGAAAATTTGTATCTTTTTCAGAGCCCAGACCTTCGTAAGTTTACAACTCTCTGGGTTTCCTCCTGCCGTTTTCAAACTTGTAACCTCCGGAGGTCAGCTAAAGTTAAAAACCCTTGGCCGGGCATGGTTGCTCACACCTGTAATCCCAGCACTCTGGGAGGCTGAGGTGGGCAGATCACCTGAGGTCGGGAGTTCGAGACCAGTCTGGTCAACATGGTAAAACCCTGTCTCTACTAAAATACAAAAATTAGCGGGCATGGTGGTAGGCGCCTGTAATCCCAGCTACTCTGGAGGCTGAGGCAGGAGAATCACTTAAACCTGGGAGGAGGAGGTCACAGTGAGCCGAGATCGCGCCATTGCACTCTAGCCTGGGAGACAAGAGTGAAACTTCGACTCAAAAGCAAAACCAAAATCCAAACCAAACCAAAAAAAAAAAAAAAAAAACCCTCACCCATTGTTAAAGACAGGAAACATTATGCTAAAAAGTGATCTCTAGCTGAAATAAAACTGGCAATTTTTAAATAAAAAGATAGGAGTTCCTTAAGGTTGAGGAGTATTCCATTGTGTAATTAATACCATGTTTGTTTGTTTTTTTTTTTTGAGATGGAGTCTTGCTGTCACCCAGGCTGGAGCGCAGTGGCACGATCTTGGCTCACTGCAACCTCTGACTCTCTGGTTCAAGCAATCCTCCTGCCTCAGCCTCCCAAGTAGCTGGGACTACAGGAGTGTGCCACCACGCCCGGCTGATTTTTTTATATTTTTAGTAGAGACAGGGTTTCACCACATTGGCCTGACTGGTCTCAAACTCCTGGCCTCAAGTGATCCACCCGCCTTGGCCTCCCAAAGTGCTGTGATTACAGGCGTGAGCCACTGTGCCCGGCCTACCATGTTTCCTTTTTAAGGCTTGGGGTCCCAACAATCTCATAACCCAGGCAGTAGGCAGGGTACCCAACGGGCACATTTTTTATTCATCCACTGATGGTCACTTAGACTGACTCTATATCTTGGTTACTGTAAATAAAGCTGCACTGGCCAGGCACTGTGGCTCATGTTTCTGATCCCAGGACTGTGGGAAGCCAAGGCAGGAGGATCGGTTGAGCCCACAGAAGTTCGAGACCAGCCTGGGCAACATGGTGAAACCCTATCTCTACAAAAATATATATATATACAAGAATGAGCGAGGTGTGGTGGGAGGCCATAGTGGTAGGATTGCTCAAGTCTGGGAGGTCAAGGCTGCAGTGAGCTGTGATTGCCCCATTGTACTCCAGCCTGAGCAAGAAAACGAGACCCCGTTTCAAAAAAAAGTGTAGCTGGGCATGGCGGCTCACACCTGTAATTCCAGCACATTGGGAGGCTGAGGCGGGTTGATCACGTGGTCAGGAGTTCAAGACCAGCCTGGCCAACATAGTGAAACCCCATCTCTATTAAAATACAAAATTTAGCCAGGCACAGTGGCAGGTGCCTGTATAATCCTAGCTATTCAAGAGGCTGATGCAGGAGAAACACTTGAACCCAGGGGGCGGGAGTTGCAATAAGCTGAGATTGTGCTGCTGCACTCCATCCTGGGTGACAGAGTGAGACTTGTCTCAAACAAACAAAAAAAAAAGTTATGGGGTAGAAAGTAGAGTAGTTCTAAATGCACTTGCTGGCTGGGTGCGGTGGCTCACGCCTGTAATCCCAACACTTTGGGAGGCCGAGGCGGGCAGATCATGAGGTCACGACATCGAGACTATCCTGGCTAACATGGTGAAACCCCATCTCTATTTAGAATACAAAAAAAAAAAAAAAAAAAATCAGCCAGGCATGGTGGGACATGCTTGTAATCCCGGCTACTCGGGAGGCTGAGGCAGGAGAATCGCTTGAACCCGGGAGGCGGAGGTTGCAGTGAGCCGAGATCGTGCTGCTAAATTCCAGCCTGGGTGACAGAGTGAGATCCTCTCTCAAGAAGAGTTAAATAACCATAGTTCATGTGCATTTTATTGTATTGTTATTTTTAATTGTCTTTGCCCCCATTATTTTTGATCTAGGATTGGTTAAATCCACAGATATGTTAGGCCAACTGTACGATACCTGAAAGCGATAGAAATAGGTAGAAAATAATTTACAAGAAAAAAACAAACAACCCCATCAAAAAGTGGGCGAACGACATGAACAGACACTTCTCAAAAGAAGACATTTATGCAGCCAAAAAACACATGAAAAAATGCTCATCATCACTGGCCATCAGAGAAATGCAAATCAAAACCACTATGAGATATCATCTCACACCAGTTAGAATGGCGATCATTAAAAAGTCAGGAAACAACAGGTGCTGGAGAGGATGTGGAGAAATAGGAACACTTTCACACTGTTGGTGGGACTGTAAACTAGTTCAACCATTGTGGAAGTCGGTGTGGGGATTCCTCAGGGATCTAGAACTAGAAATACCATTTGACCCAGCCATCCCATTACTGGGTATATACCCAAATGACTATAAATCATGCTGCTATAAAGACACATGCACACGTATGTTTATTGCAGCATTATTCACAATAGCAAAGACTTGGAACCAACCCAAATGTCCAACAATGATAGACTGGATTAAGAAAATGTGGCACATATATACCATGGAATACAATGCAGCCATAAAAAATGATGAGTTCATGTCCTTTGTAGGGACATGGATGAAATTGGAAACCATCATTCTCAGTAAACTATCACAAGAACAAAAAACCAAACACCGCATATTCTCACTCATAGGTGGGAATTGAACAATGAGATCACATGGACACAGGAAGGGGAACATCACACTCTGGGGACTGTGGTGGGGTGGGGGGAGGGGGGAGGGATAGCATTGGGAGATATACCTAATGCTAGATGACGAGTTAGTGGGTGCAGCGCACCAGCATGGCACATGTATACATATGTAACTAACCTGCACAATGTGCACATGTACCCTAAAACTTAAAGTATAATAAAAAAAATAATAATAATAAAATAAAAAATAAAAAAATAAAAGGACAAAAAAAAAAAAAAAAAGAAGTAGGTAGAAAATAAGGACCAGGACAGACACCAGGGTTTATGAAGATCCAGCACCTGCATTCAGAACAAGCAGTCCCTCTCCAAGCCTCAATGCCATTTCTTTTTTTTTTTGAGACAGAATTTTGCTCTTGTTGCCCAGGCTGGGGTGCAATGGCGTGATCTCGGCTCATAGCAACCCCCGCCTCCTAGATTTAAGTGATTCTCCTGCCTCAGCCTCCCGGAGTAGCTGGGATTACAGGTGTCTGCCACCACGTCCAGCAAATTTTTGTATTTTTAGTAGAGATGCTGTTTCATCACCATGTTGGTCAGGCTGGTCTCAAACTCCTGACCCTCAGGTGGTCCAACCGCCTCAGCCTCCCAAAGGGCTGGGACGACAGGCGTGAGCCAGCGCGCCTGGCCTTCTGAATTTCTAAAGTCCTGGAGAGGACGCCTGCTTCCTCCTAGGACACAGTGTGGACCGATTTCCACTCACCTCTGACTTCATCCTTTGCTCTCTCAGACAGATCCATTCGGTGCATCTTTTCAAAGACCTGGAGGCTCGCCATCTCCACCCAGTAGCTGTCACAATGGGTGGTGAGGATTTCTACCAGTTGCTTCCCATCAGCCTTGTCTACCTCCTTGTGGGGGATCTTCTGGAGCTCGTGTGCCAGGGAGAAGGTCGTGATCAGATACTTGAACTTGCTCAACTCATCCTGGCTGAGCTGCTCCAGGAGAGCCTGCAGGTTGAAGCCCATCTGCGCCGAAGACACCATCTTGTCCCACGTGGGAGCTGTGATGACAATCAAGGGAGGAGTGGAGAGGGATGGTGATTAGCACTCCTGTCTCAAATGCCAGTTCCTGCTGTGCCACGAACAAGGACACTCACCATCTACCCTGCTTCTTCAAGAACAAACTCCCAGCCTGGGCAACATAGTGAGACCCCCATCTCCATGAAAAATAAGTTAGCAGTGGGTGGTGGTACATGCCTGTAGTCCCAGCTACTCAGGAGGCTGCAGTGGGAGGATTGCTTGAGCCTGGGAGACTGAAACTGCAGTGAGCCTTGATTGTGCCACTGCACTCCCATCTGGGCAACAGAGCAAGACCTCAACTCATTTTACTTTTATTTACTTATTTTTGAGATAGTTTCACTCTGCAGCCCAGGCTGGAGTACAGTAGTACGATCTCAGCTCACTGCAACCTCTGCCTCCCAGGTTCAAACAGTTCTCCTGCCTCAGCCTCCCGACTAGCTGGGATTATGGGCACCCACCACCACGCTCAGCTACTTTTTGTATTTTTTTTTTTTTTTTTTTTGAGACGGAGTCTCACTTTGTCACCCTGGCTGGAGTGCAGTGCTGCAATCTCGGCTCACTACAACCTCTGCCTCCCGGATTCAAGCAATTCTCCTGCCTCAGCCTCCCAAGTAGCTGGGATTACAGGCATTCACCACTGTGCCCAGCTAATTTTTTTGTATTTTTAGTAGAGATGGGGGGTTTCACCAAGTTGGCCAGGCTGGTCTCGAACTCCTGACCTCGTGATTCACCTGCCTCAGTGCCCAGCTAGTTTTTCTAATTGCAAAATAACCAGCTACTGTCAGGGTTTTCCCTGAGGGGCTGCTCAGGTTCTAAAAGTTAACCTATAAAGCGAAAACACTCTCTCATTATAGCAAAGTAGTAACACAACAATGAAAGGACAAGCATAGATCAGATAAGGAAGTGGGGAGCTACGTGGATCACCCAGGAGACAAGAAACTTCGTGAAAACTGGGCTGAATATGATAATGCAAACACACAGCCGGGCGCGGTGGCTCACGCCTGCAATCCCAGCACTTTGGGAGGCCGAGGCGGGCGGATCGTGAGGTCAGGAGATCGAGACCATCCTGGCTAACACAGTGAAACCCCGTCTCTACTAAAAATACAAAAAATTAGCCGGGCGTGGTGGCAGGTGCCTGTAGTTCCAGCTACTTGGGAGGCTGAGGCAGGAGAATCGCTTGAACCTGGGAGTGGGAGGCAGAGGTTGTGGTGAGCTGACATGGCGCCACTGCACTCCAGCCTGGGGCGACAAGAGTGAAACTGTCTCAAAAAAAAAAAAGGCTTAAAGATAACTTAGTGGTGGAGCCTGGTCTCAGGACACAGGTGTGTGGCTTTTACTTTACTGAAGCTGGCCGGGGGGCCATGGCTCACACCTGGAACCCCAAACACTTTGGGAAGCCAAGGTGGGAGGATTGCTTGGAGTTTGAGACCAGCCTGGGCAACATGGCAAAACCCTGTCTCTACAAAAAAATACAAAAAAAAAAAAAATTGTGCTGGGCATAGTGGCATGCACCTGTAGTCCCAGCTACTGAGGAGGCTGAGGTGGGAGGATCACCTGAGCCAGGGAAGTTAAGGCTGCAGTGAGCTGTGATCGCACCACTGCACTCCAGCCTGGTAAAACAAACAAAAACACAACACTGGGGGTGGTGGCTGACGCTTGCAATCCCCGCACTTTGGGAAGCTCAGGTGGGTGATCACTCCAGTCCAGAAGTTCCAGACCAGCCTGGCAACTTAAGACCCTGTCTCTATTTTAAAAACAACAGGGCCGGGTGCGGTGGCTCACGCCTGTAATCACAGCACTTTGGGAGTCCAAGGTGGGAGGATCACCTGAGGTCTGGAGCTTGAGACCAGCCTGGCCAACATAGTGAAACCCTATATCGACTAAAAATACGAAAATTAGCCAGGTTGGTGACAGGCGGCTGTAGTCCCAGCTACTTAGAAGGCTGAGGCACGAGAATTGCTTGAACCTGGGAGGTGGAAGTTGCAGTGAGCTGAGATAGCGCCACTGTACTCCAGCCTGGGAAACAGAGCTAGACTTTGTCTCAAAAAAAAAAAAAAAAAAATAGCAGTAGCAACAAAAACTTTACAGAAAGGGTATAACACCTCTTTATATGATAGCTGTGAATAGCGTGAGAATGGCAACTGGCATAGGTATTTGCATAAGACTCAGGTCCGGAAGCTGGACTAGAATGATGCTAAGAGGCTCCCTCACCTCAGTGAATAAAAAACAATACCTTCTTGTTAAGAGGACTCATTAGACACAAAACCTTAGCACTGCCCAGGACTCCACACACAGCAACCACAGCATCTGACCTGTTCCAATATATTTTTTTTTTTGGAGCTCTCTATAGCTCTATCCTAAATCCCCCAAGAGAACAGAAATAAAAGCACACACAACTATCCTCTTATGAGCCAACCTTAACTAGAGTCTCTCTAGATCTAAGCATCTGCTACTCTTTCCCCAGTCAGAACCACTGAATTTTATTTTATTTTATTTTTTGAGACAGTTTCTCTCTTGCTGCGCAGGCTGGAGAGCAATGGTATGATCTAGGCTCCCCGCAACCTCCGCTTCCCGGGTTCAAGTGATTCTCCTGCCTCAGCCTCCTGAGTAGCTAGGATTACAAGTATGCGCTACCACGCCCACCTAATTTTATATTTTTAGTAGAGATGGGGTTTCTACATGTTGGTCAGGCTGGTCTCGAACTCCCGACCTCAGGTGATCCTCCCGCCTCGGCCTCCCAAAGCGCTGCGATTACAGGCGTGAGCCACTGAGACAGGCAGAACCACTTAATTTCTAACAGAAGAAAAGATTTAGGCCGGGCGCGGTGGCACCTGCCTATAATCCCAGAATTTTGGGAGTCTGAGGCAGGAAGATCGCTTGAGCCCAGGAGTTAGAGACCAGCTTCGGCAACATATTAAGACCCTACATCTAGTGAGTCTCTGCAAACAGTGGTAATAATAATATTATTAGCCAGAACAGATGTGGTGGCACCCTCCCACGGTCCCAGCTACTTCAAAGGCTGAGGCGTGAGGACTGCTTGAACCTGAGAGGTCAAGGGTTCAGTGAGCCGAGATCCTGCCACAGCGCTCCAGCCTGGGAAACAGAGTAAGACCCTCAAAAAAGAGAAGAAAAAAAAAAAAAAAAAAAAAAAAAAGGCTGGGCGCGGTGGCTCACGCCTGTAATCCCGGCACCTTGGGAGGCCGAGGCGGACTGAGACCAGCCTGGCCAACATGGTGAAACCCCGTCTCTACTAAAAATACAAAAAAATTAGCTGGGCATAGTGGCAGGTGCCTGTAGTCTCAGCTACTCGGGAGGCTGAGGCAGGAGAATGGCCTGAACCCGGGAGGCGGAGCTTGCAGTGAGCCGAGATCGCGCCACCGCACTCCAGCCTGGGCGACAGAGCGAGACTCCGTCTCAGAAAAAAAATATATGAAATAAAAGGAGAAATTTTACCAACTGTGGAATGGAGAAATAAAGAAATGAAGTTGCAGAGCTGCCGGAGAGCTACTCACCTCCCAACACCTGGCCCTACTCGCCGGCGGAGATGAGGGCTGCAGGTTGAGAAAGCTCTAATAAGGCTTCTCTCTCGGCCGCAGCCCTGTGATTGGCCCTCGGGGCGTAATCGTTGCTGAGCACTTCCTGTATCCACCGGAATTACTGAGAGGTCTTTTGGGGGCGGGGGGTGTTGGGGGGCGGTCCTTCACCTGAGCTTCCGGATCTCCACCTGTGGTCCTCCATCTTGACTGCCTGTTAAACTTACCTATGTGGAGCCTCATTTCAAAGCACGAACGCCTAGAGATTCTGCTTGATTGGTTACACTGGGACTGCCCAGACCCTGGAGTTCTTTCGAGAGTCCCAGATAACTGTGATTGCGGCCGAGGCTGAGAATCACCGCTTAGAAGCCTCAGCTGTGATTGGCTACCTTCTCCCATCACCCCAGGTATATTATTAATAAAAATCCAACCGTATTTCAAGTGAAATATCAATGACACGTCAACTATGAGACGCATGAAAAGCACCAAGTTCATCAGTTTCACATTCACAGTATTATTATTATTTTATTTTTAATGGAGTCTTGCTCTGTTCCCCAGGCTGGAGTGCAACGGCACGATCTCGGCTCCCCGCAGCCTCCGCCTGCCGGCTTCAAGTGATTCCCCTGCCTCAGCCTCCCGAGTAGCTGAGATTACAAGCATGCGCCACAACGCCTGGTTAATTTTTGTATTTTTTTCAATAGAGACGGGGTTTTGCCATGCTGGCCAGGCTGGTCTCAAACTCCCGACCTCAGGTGATCTGCCAGCCTCAGCCTCCTAAAGTGCTGGGATTACAGGCGTGAGCCACCTACTAAAAATACAAAAAATTAGCCGGGCGTGGTGGCGGGCGCCTGTAGTCCCAGCTACTCGGGAGGCTGAGGCAGGAGAATGGCGTGAACCCGGGAGGCGGAGCTTGCAGTGAGCAGAGATCGCGCCACTGCACTCCAGCCTGGGCGACAGAGCGAGACTCCGTCTCAGAAAAAAAATATATGAAATAAAAGGAGAAATTTTACCAACTGTGGAATGGAGAAATAAAGAAATGAAGTTGCAGAGCTGCCGGAGAGCTACTCACCTCCCAACACCTGGCCCTACTCGCCGGCGGAGATGAGGGCTGCAGGTTGAGAAAGCTCTATTAAGGCTTCTTTCTCGGCCGCAGCCCTGTGATTGGCCCTCGGGGCGTAATCGTTGCTGAGCACTTCCTGTATCCACCGGAATTACTGAGAGGTCTTTTGGGGGCGGGGGGTGTTGGGGGGCGGTCCTTCACCTGAGCTTCCCGATCTCCACCTGTGGTCCTCCATCTTGACTGCCTGTTAAACTTACCTATGTGGAGCCTCATTTCAAAGCACGAACGCCTAGAGATTCTGCTTGATTGGTTACACTGGGACTGCCCAGACCCTGGAGTTCTTTCGAGAGTCCCAGATAATTGTGATTGCGGCCGAGGCTGAGAATCACCGCTTAGAAGCCTCAGCTGTGATTGGCTACCTTCTCCCATCACCCCAGGTATATTATTAATAAAAATCCAACCGTATTTCAAGTGAAATATCAATGACACGTCAACTATGAGACGCATGAAAAGCACCAAGTTCATCAGTTTCACATTCACAGTATTATTATTATTTTATTTTTAATGGAGTCTTGCTCTGTTCCCCAGGCTGGAGTGCAACGGCACGATCTCGGCTCCCCGCAGCCTCCGCCTGCCGGCTTCAAGTGATTCCCCTGCCTCAGCCTCCCGAGTAGCTGAGATTACAAGCATGCGCCACAACGCCTGGTTAATTTTTGTATTTTTTTCAATAGAGACGGGGTTTTGCCATGCTGGCCAGGCTGGTCTCAAACTCCTGACCTCAGGTGATCTGCCAGCCTCAGCCTCCTAAAGTGCTGGGATTACAGGCGTGAGCCACCGTGCCTGGCTGGCAGTATTAATTTTGTAAACATATAGCCGGGCACAGTGGCTCACGCCTGTAATCCCAGCACTTTGGGAGGCCGAGGCAGGTGGATCACGAGGTCAGGAGATCGAGACCATCCTGGCTAACACGGTGAAACCCCGTCTCTACTAAAAATACAAAAAATTAGCCGGGCGTGGTGGCGGGCACCTGTAGTCCCAGCTACTCGGGAGGCTGAGGCAGGAGAATGGCGTGAACCCGGGAGGCGGAGCTTGCAGTGAGCCGAGATCGCGCCACTGCACTCCAGCCTGGGCGACAGAGCAAGGCTCCATCTCAAAAAAAAAAAAAAAAAAAAAAACACCATATAAATAAGACTAAAAAGTTGGGTTTTGGCCGGGCGCGGTGGCTCACGCCTGTAATTCCAGCACTTTGGGAGGCCAAGGCGGGTGGATCACGAGGTCAGGACTTCAAGACCAGCCTGGCCAAGATGATGAAACCCCGTCTCAACTAAAAATACAAAAAATTAGTCGGGCGTGGTGGCGGGTGCCTGTAATCCCAGCTACTTGGGAGGCTGAAGCAGAGAATTGCTTGAACCCAGGAGGCGGAGGTTGCAGTGAGCCGAGACCGCACCACTGCACTCCACCCTGGGCGACAGAGTGAGACTCCGTCTCAAAAAAAAAAAGAAAAAAGTTGGGTTTTATAGCTTTTTTTCATGTTTCTTTGTTTGTTTTGCTTTTTTTTTTTCTGAGACTGAGTCTGGCACTGTCGCCCGGGCTGGAGTGCAGTGGCGCAATCTTGGCTCACTGCAACCTCCGCCTCCAGAGTTCAAGCGATTCTCCTGCCTCAGCCTCCTGAATAGCTGGGATTACAGGCGCGTGCCACTGTACCCGGCTAATTTTCTTATTTTTAGTAGAGATGGGGTTTCACCATGTTGGACAGGGTGGTCTTGAACTCCCAACCTCAGGTAATCTGCTCACCTCGGCCTCCCAAAGTGCTAGGATTACAGGCATGAGCCACTGCGCCTAGCCTTTTTTTTGTATTTTTAGTAGAGATGGGGTTTCACTATGTTGGCCAGGCTGGTCTCAAACTCTTGACCTCGTGATCCGCCCGCCTCGGCCTCCCAAAGTGCTTGGGTTGCAGGCACGAACCACCGCGCCCAGCCTTTTTCATGTTTTAGAACCAACATATGTATATGTACATCTATATTTCTTTTCGTTTTTTCTTTTTGAGACAGGGTCTCACTCTGTCGCCTAGGCTGGTGTGCAGTGGCACAATCATAGCTTACTGAAGGCTACAGGCATACGCCATCACGCCTGACTAGATTTTTGTATTTTTTATAGAGATGGAGGTCTCACTATGTTGCCCAGGCTGGTCTCAACCCCATGGGCTTAAGCAATCTTCCCACCACGGCCTCCCAAAGTGCTGGGATTTCCGGTGTGAGCCACCATGCTTGACCCTGTGTTTACTTATTAAGTCCTCTAAACATTGCTACACAGTAGTGATTGCCATGATCCTACCCATTTTTCACTTTCCTTGAGAAAATGAAGGCAAGGCATATTTAGAAAACCTGTCTGAGGTCTTGAAGATCACAAACAGCTGTCAGCTTCCGGAAGCCCAGCTCTTCACTGCCGCGCTCAGTTGCCTATCCTAGAAAGAATAAGAAAGTGAGGGGGCCCAGTGTGGTGCCTCACGCCTGTAATCCCAGCACTTTGGGAGGCCGAGGCGGGCGGATCACGAGGTCAGGAGATGGAGACCATCCTGGCTAACACGGTGAAACCCCGTCTCTACTAAAAATACAAAAAATTAGCCGGGCGTGGTGGCGGGCGCCTGTAGTCCCAGCTACTCGGGAGGCTGAGGCAGGAGAATGGCGTGAACCCGGGAGGCGGAGCTTGCAGTGAGCTGAGATCGCGCCACTGCACTCCAGCCTGGGTGACAGAGCAAGACTCTGTCTCAAAAACAAACAAACAAAAAAGAAAGAAAGAAAGAAAAGAAAATGAGGGGCCGGGCGTGGTGATTCATGCCTGTAATCCCAGCACTTTGGGAGGCCGAGGCGGGTGGATCACCTGAGGTCAGGAGTTCGAGATCAGCCTGACCAACATGGTGAAATCCCATCTCTACTAAAAATACACAAAAAATTAGCCAGGCGTAGTGGCAGATGCCTGTAATTCCAGCTATTCTGGAGGCTGAGGCAGGAAAATGGCTGGAACCTGGGAGGCAGAGGTTGCAGTGAGCTGAGATCGTGCCATTGCACTCCAGCCTGGGCAACAAGAGCGAAACTCTGTCTCAAAAAAAAAAAAAAAATTGAGGGATGGAGGGAATAGGAAGGATGAATGAAAATGTGCAGGAGCAGTTTTCAGACTGCACATTTCAATAAATTCTTTTTCATTTTTTCTTTTTTTTTTTTTTGAGATGGAGTTTTGCTCTTGTCGCCCAGGCTGGAGTGCAATGGCGCGATCTCAGCTCACTGCAACCTCTGCCTGCCGGTTTCCTGTGATTCTCCTGCCTCAGACTCCTGTGTAGCTGGGATTACAGGCATGTACCACCACGCCCGGCTAATTTTGTAGTTCTAGTAGAGATGGGGTTTCACCATACCCTTTTGGCCAGGCTGTTCTTGAACTCCTGACCTCAGGTGATCCACCCGCCTCAGCCTCCCAAAGTTCTGGGATTACAGGCATCCACTTCCCCCGACCTTTTTCTACCTTCTTAATATGGACACCCTACCATAATTTGGAGGTACTTTTTTTTTTGTTTCCTTTTTGAGACAGACTCTCGCTCTGTTGCCCAGGCTGGAGTGCAGTGGTGTGGTCTCGGCTCACTGCAACCTCTGCCTCCGGGGCTCAAGCAATTCTCTTGCCTCAGCCTCCTACAGGCACCTGCCACCATGCCAGGCTAATTTTTAGTACAGATAGGTTTTCACCATGCTGGCCAGGCTCTTCTTGAACTCCTGATCTGAGATCCACCTGCCTCGGCTTCCCAAAGTGCTGGGATTACAGGTGTGAACCACCACGCCCAGCCACAGTACCTTTTTTAAAAAATTTGTATTTTCTTTTATTTATTTATTTATTTATTTAGAGATGAAGTCTCTCTGTTGTTGCCCAGGCTGGAGTGCAGTGGCATGATCTTGGCTCACTGCAACCTCTGCCTCCCGGGTTCAAGTGATTCTCCTGCCCTAGCTGGGATTATAGGCTCCCGCCACCATACCAAGCTAATTTTGTATTTTTAGTAGACACGGGGTTTCACCACCTTGGCCGGGCTGGTCTTGGACTCCTGACCTCGGGTGATCCACCTGCTTTGGCCTCCCAAAGTGCTGGAATTACAGGCGTGAGACACTGTGCCTGGCCCACTCCCCCTCTTTTTTAACTAGAGACTGGGTCTCACTTTGTACACCGGGCCGGTCTTGAACTCCTGGGCTCCATGGCCCTCCCGCCTTGGCCTCCCAAAGTACTGAGATTACAGGTGTGAGCCACTATGCCTGGCCCATTATTTTATATTTTAATATAAATATTTACATTTATAAATTTCCATCAGTGCAACAAACACATTTCAACAGCAATTTCACCACCACTCAGTTCTAGCATTTTTAAAAATGCCCTTTGTTATTTCTTCTTTGACCTTGGAATTATATAGAATATTTTTTTAAGACTCAAATGCATGGGATTAAGAAATTATCTTTTGTGCTGGGCATGGTGGCTCACGCCTGTAATCCCAGCACTTTGGGAGGCCGAGGCAAGCGGATCACGAGGTCAGGAGATCGAGACCATCCTGGCTAACACGGTGAAACCCCGTCTCTACTAAAAATTAAAAAAATTAGCTGGGCACGGTGGCGGGTGCCTGTAGTCCCAGCTACTTGGGAGGCTGAGGCAGGAGAATGGCGTGAATCCGGGAGGCGGAGCTTGCAGTGAGCCACCATCACACCACTGCACTCCAGCCTAGGTGACAGAGCAAGACTCCATCTCAAAAAATAAAAATAAAAATAAAAATAAAACTATCTTTTGTTACAATTCTTCTAACTTTTGTTCTATTGAGGAAATTGAGACTGAAATGTTAAGTAGCAACCCCAAGGTCACATAACTCATGGGTGGCTGGGGAGAAGGATGGATTTAAACAGACTTCTGGTTGAGCGCGGTGGCTTAAGGCTGTAATCCCAGCACTTTGGGAGGCTGAGATGGGTGGATCACTTGAGGTCAGGAGCTCGAGACTAGCCTGGCCAACATGGTGAAATCCCGTCTCTACTAAAAATACAAAAGTTAGCTGGGTGTGGCGGCAGGCACCTGTAATCCCAGCTACCCAGGAGGCTGAGGGAGGAGAATTGCTTGAACCCGGGAAGCAGAGGTTGCAGTGAGCTGAGATCTCGCCACTGCACTCCAGCCTGGGTGATAGAGGGAGACAACATCTCAAAAAACAAAACGAAAGAAACAAACAAACAAAAAAAACAAGAAACACCAGACTTCTGTTGGAATAAGTGAGTTTGGTTCGGGTAGATGGAACCTGCAAAGGGGTTTGGAGATCCAAAAGAGGAACTACGTGGTTAGAACAGAGTATCGGATGAACTGATAAGAAACCACAATTCAAAAACAATTCAACAAAATGCCCAGGTCTGTGAAAGCCTGTCTACACCAGGCCTTGGGTCTCTGTGTACATTGCCTGCTTCTGACAAGGCTCTGCAGCCGGGAGTCGGCTCCCAGGGTTGCATGGCTGGGAACAACAGAAGCTCAGGAGCGGACCTAAAACGGAGCAGTTGGGTAAAATGAAGCTGTCTCCATTTACTTTCTACAGACAGACATCCATGAGAGGATGAGGAGGTGTGCTTGCCTCCTGGTCAAGCACTAATTTTTTTTTCCAAGCACTAATTTTAATTTTTTTATTTTTTGTAGAAACAGGGTCTCAGAGTATTTGCTTTGGCAGCACATACACTAAAATTGGAAATGGGGGTCTTGCTATGTTGCCCAGGCTGGACTTGAGCTCCTGGGCTCAAGGGATCCTCCCACCTCAACCTCCTAAAGTGCTATCCACTCTGACCTTGTGATCCACCTGCCTCAGCCTCCCAAAGTGCTGGTGAGGGAAGAGAGAAACCGTCTCATATTGTTTTATATTGTTTTATACTCAGTACTTGTTTTAGAAAAAAAACAAGGAGGCCGGGCACGGTGGCTCACGCCTGTAATCCCAGCACTTTGGGAGGCCAAGGCGGGTGGATCACAAGGTCAGGAGTTTGAGACCAGCCTGGCCAACATGGTGAAACCCCGTCTCTATTAAAAATACAAAAATTAGCCGGGCATGGTGGCGTGCGCCTGTAATCCCAGCTACTCGGAAGGATGAGGCAGCAGAATTGCTTGAATCCAGGAGGCGGAGCTTGCAGTGAGCCGAGATTGTGCCACTGCACTCCAGCCTTAGCGACAGAGCAAGACTCTGTCTCAAAAAAAAAAAAAAAGAAAAAGAAAAAAACAAGGAAGTGAAACCAAAGGCAGGTAGCCCGGCGCCAGGCACCAGACCCAAAACCAGACCCGAAACCAGGCCTGGGCCTGCCTGGCGTAAACCTAGTAGATAAAAATCAACTCATGACTTAGAACCCGATGTTATCCATAGATTCCAGGCATTGTATAGAAGAACACTGTGAAACTCCCTGCCCTATTCTTTCTCTCTGACCAGCAGTGCACGAAACCCCTGTTATGTATCCCCTAGATTGCTCAATCATGACCCTTTCATGCGCAGTCTTTAGTGTTGTGAGCCCTTAAAAGGGACAGAAACTGTGCACTCGAGGAGCTTGGATTTTAAGACAGTAGCTTGCCGATGCTCCCAGCTGAATAAAGCCCTTCCTTCTACAACTCGGTGTCTGAGAGGTTTTTGTCTGTGGCTCGTCCTGCTACACTGGGATTACAGGCGTGAGCCACTGTGCCTGGCCACTAGTTATTATTATTATTATTATTTGAGACAGAGTCTCACTCTGTCCCTTGGGCTGGAGTGCAGTGGCCTGATCTTGACTCACTGCAACCTTTGCCTCCCGGGTTCAAGCGATTCTCCTGCCTCAGCCTCCAGAGTAGCTGGGATTACAGGCATGCACCACTATGCCCAGCTAGCTAACTTTTTGTATTTTTAGTAGAGACAGGGTTTCACCATGTTGGCCAGGCTGGTCTTGAACTCCTGACCTTGTGATTCGCCCACCTCGGCGTCCCAAAGTGCTGGGATTAGAGGCGTGAGCCACTGCACCCGGCAATACTAGTTATTGTTAATGCTATTATTGTTACTGACATGTTCATTTTTACCTAGCCACTTTATTTTCCCACCTCTTTCTCCCTACTTCTCCTAAGTGTCAATGTTAGATAAGTCTGAAATTCTCTTTCCCTGTCCCTCTCTGTCTCTCTCTCCTTCTTTGTCTTTCTTTCACCTGAGACCCATAATCCTGGAGATAGCAAGTGCCTCAGGGAGAAAATCCCAAACCAAGCGATTCTCCTGCCCTAGCCTTCCAAGTAGCTGGGATTACAGGCTCCTGCCACCATACCAAGCTAATTTTGTATTTTTAGTAAAGACACGGTCTCACCACCTTGGCCAGGCTAGTCTCGGACTCCTGACCTCAGGTGATCCACCCACCTGGGCCTCCCAAAGTGCTGGAATTACAGGCGTGAGACACCGTGCCCGGCCCCCTCCCCATCTTTTTTAAATAGAGACTGGGTCTCACTTTGTACACCGGGCCAGTCTTGAACTCTTGGGCTCCATGGCCCTCCAGTGTGGAGGAGAGAAAATGGATTCCCTCCACCCTCCTAGGTTCTTTGGATGGGCTATGAATTACATTGACACAAAACAGTTTGACAGAAGAAAAACCAGATTCAATTATGTATGCACAGGAGTCCCACAAAAATGTGAGACTGGAGGAAGGGCCAGATGATTGAAGCTCATCTAGCTGCCTGAGCTACAGAAAGGAGTATAAGAGTGTAGGGTGCAGTGGCTCACGCCTGTGATCCCAGCAGTTTGGGAGGCCAAGGTGGGTGGATCACCTGAGGTCAGGAGTTTGAGACCAGCCTGGCCAACATGGTGAAACCCCATCTCTGCTAAAAATACAAAAATTAGCTGGTGTGGTGGTGTGTGCCTGTAATCCCAGCTACTCCGGAGGCTGAGGCAGGAGAATCACTTGAACCCGGGAGGAGGAAACTGCAGTGAGCTAAGATCGCACCATTGTACTCCAGCCTGGGCTTCAAAGGGAGACTCCATCTCAAAAAAAAAAAAAAAAAGAAGAAGAAGAAGAAAGGAGTAGGGGTGTCCGTCCCAGTGGCTCACGGTCTGTAATCTCAACACTTTGGGAACCGAAATGGGTGGATCACCTGACGTCGGGAGTTTGAGACTAGCCTGGACAACAGGGTGAAACCCAGTCTCCACTAAAAATACAAAAATTAGCCAGGTGTGGTGGTGTGCCCTGTAATCCCAGCTACTTGGGAGGCTGAGACAGGAGGATTACTTGAACCCGGGAGGTGGAGGTTGCAGTGGGCCAAGATCACGCCACTGCACTGCAGCCTGGGAGATAGAGGGAGACCCTGTCTCAAAATAAAATAAATAAATAAATAAATAAATACATACATACATAAATGAAAAGGCGTAGAGACTTGGAGCTTCTGGGGGTGGTGGAGGCAAATTAAGGTATGATAAAAGGGGGAAAAGTTGCTGGGTTCACGCCTGTAATTCCAGCACTTTGGGAGGCCAAGGCAGGTGGATCACCAGAGGACAGGAGTTCGAGACAAGCCTGGCCAACATGGTGAAACCCCGTTTCTACTAAAAATGCAAAAAATTAGAAGGCGTGGTGTTGGGTGTCAGTGATCCACCTGCCTCGGCCTCCCAAAGTGCTGATATTATAGGCGTGAGCCACTGCGCCCGGCCTTTTTTTTTTTTTGAGGGAGAGTCTTGCTCTGTCTCCCAGGCTGGAGTGCAAAGGCACAATCTCAGCTCACTGCAACCTCCGCCTCCCGGGTTCAAGTGATTCTCCTGCCTCAGCCTCCCGAGTAGCTGGTATTACAGGCACCTGCCACCGCGCCCAGCTAATTTTTGTATTTTTTTTTAGTAGAGATGGGGTTTTGCCATGTTCACCAGGGTGGTCTCAAAGTCCTGACCTCAAGTGATCCGCCTGCCTTGGCCTCCCAAAATCCTGGAATGACAGGCATGAACCACCATACCCAGTCCTGTTTTTCCTACTTTCACACTCAACACAGAATACTTCACCAAAAATGTATGTTTCTCCCCACCAACAACCAGTTCTCCAGCAGAGACCAGCTGGGTGTCCTCTCCTTTGATTTAGTTCTGACACTCCCTACCTGGGGACAGCATCAGATCCCAAAGGTTCAGGGCTGAGTCCCACAAGACTGACTGACTTCCTTCCTTCCTTCCTTGTCCCACAAGACTGACTTCCTTTCCCTCCTTCCCTTCCCTCCTTCCCTCCTTCCCTCCTTCCTTCCTTTCTCTCCCTCTGTTGCCCAGGCTGGAGTGCAGTTGCGAGATCATGGCTCACTGTAGCCATGACCTCCCAGTCTCAAGTGATCCTCCTGCCTTGGCCTCCTGAGTAGCTGGGACTACAGGCATGCACGATCACAGTTGGCTATTTATTTATTTATTTATTTATTTTTGAGACACAGTCTTGCTCTGTCATCCAGGCTGGAGTGCAGTCCTGTCATCTAGGCTGGAGTGCATTTTTGCAATACAAAAATTAGCCAGGCATGGGAGCGAATGTCTATAATCCCAGCTACTTGGGAGGCTGAGGCTCGACAATCCCTTGAACCCAGGAGGTTGAGGATCACAGCTCACTGCAACCTCAGTCTTGCTGTGTCGCCCAGGCTGAAGTGCAGTGGCACGATCTTGGCTCACTGCAACCTACGACTCCGGGATTCACGTCATTCTCCTGCCTCAGCCTCCCGAGTAGCTGGGACCACAGGCGCCCACGACCTCCTGGCTAACTTTTGTATTTTTTGTAGAGATGGGGTTTCGCCATGTTAGTCAGGCTGGTCTGACCTCAAATGATTCACCCACCTCAGCTTCCCAACATGCTGGGCTTACAGCCACTGTGCTCAGTCGAAATTCTGTATATTTGATCAAGAAGAGGTTTCATCATGTTGTCCAGGCTGGTCTGGAACTCTTGAACTCAAGCAATCCACCTACCTGGGCTGCCCAAAGTTCGGGGATTCCAGGCATGTGCCACCATGCCTGGCCCAAGGCTGCTCTTCCTAAAGAAGAAAATTATTCCAATGATTTTATTTATTTATTTTTGAGACGGAGTTTCACTCTTGTTGCCCAGGCTGGAGTGCAATGGCATGATCTTGGCTCACTGCAACCTCTGCCACCCGGGTTCAAGTGATTCTCCTGCCTCAGCCTCCTGAGTAGCTGGGATTACAGGCACGCACCACCACACCCAGCTAATTTTTTTGTATTTTAGTAGAGACGGGGTTTCTCCATGTTGGTCAGGCTGGTCTCAAACTTCGGACCTCAGGTGATCCGCCAGCCTTGGCCTCCCAAAGTGCTGGGATTGCAGGCGTGAGCCACCGCGCCCGGCCACCAATGATATTTTTTAAAAGCAAGTAAGGACGAGCTGGGCATGGTGGGTTCTTGAATCTCATACCAGAAAGAATTCAGGGCGAGACTATGGAGTAAAGTGGAAGCAAGCTTATTAGGAAAGTGAAGGAGTAAAAGAATAGCTACTCCATAGACAGCAGCCCATAGGGCTGCTAGTTGCCCTTATTTTTTTTGAGATGGAGTTTTGCTCTTGTCGCCCAGGCTGGAGTGCAGTGGCGTGATCTTGGCTCACTGAAACCTCTGCCTTGAATCACTTCAGTTCAAGTGATTCTCCTGCCTCAGCCTCCTGAGTAGCTGGGATTACAGGTGCCTGCCATCACGTCTGGCTAATTTTTGTATTTTTAGTAAGAGATGGGGTTTCACCATGTTGGCCAGGCTGATCTTGACCTCCTGAGCTCAGGTGATATGCCCGCCTCGGCCTCCCAAAGTGTTGGGATTACAGGCGTAAGCCACCACGTCCGGCCTCGGTTGCCCTTTTTTTTTTTTTTTTTTTTTTTTGAGACGGAGTCTCGCTCTTTCACCAGGCCAGAGTGCAGTGGCACTATCTCGGCTCACTGCAAGCTCCGCCTCCTGGGTTCAGGCCATTCTCCTGCCTCAGCCTCCCGAGTAGCTGGGACTACAGGCGCCCGCCACCGCACCCAGCTAATTAGTTGTATTTTTTTTTAGTAGAGATGGGATTTCACCGTGTTAGCCAGGATGGTCTCAATCTCCTGACCTCATGATCCACCCGCCTCGGCCTCCCAAAGTGCTGGGATTACAGGCGTGACCACCGCGCCCGGCCGGTTGCCCATTTTTATGGTTATTTCTATGGATATGCTAAACAAGGGGTGGATTATTCATGCCTCCCCTTTTTAGACAGCATAGGGTAACTTCCTGACATTGCCATGGCATTTGTAAACTGTCATGGGGCTGCTGGGAGTGGAGCGGTGAGGACAACCAGAGGTTACTCTCGTCACTATCTTGGTTTTGATGGAGTTTGACTGGATGCTTTATTTATTTTTATTTATTTTTTATTTTTTTGAGACGGAGTCTCGCTCTGTCACCCAGGCTGGAGTGCAGTGGCGCGATCTCCGCTCACTGCAAGCTCCATCACCCGGGTTCACGCCGTTCTCCTGCCTCAGCCTCCCGAGTAGCTGGGACTACAGGCGCCCGCCACCACGCCCAGCTAATTTTTTGTATTTTTTTTTTTTAGTAGAGATGGTTTCACCGTGTTAGCCAGGATGGTCTCAATCTCCTGACCGTGTGATCCACCCGCCTCAGCCCCCGAAAGTGCTGGGATTACAGGTGTGAGCCACCGCGCCCGGCCTGGCTGGATTCTTTATTGCTAAGGGAGGAGACCACCCCTCATATTGTCTTATGCCCAATTTCCACCTCCAAAGAAAGAAAAAGTAAAAACTAAAAGGCAGAAATGAAATCCACAAGCAGACAGCCCCGCGCCCCAGGAATGAAATCCACAAGCAGACAGCCCCGCGGCCCAGGAATGAAATCCACAAGCAGACAGCCCGGCGCCACACCCTGGGCCTGGTAGTTAAAGATTGACCCCTGACCTAATCGGTTATCTATAGATTACAGACATTGTATAGAAAAGCACTGTGAAAATCCCTATCCTGTTTTGTTTGGATCTGATTACCAGTGCATGCAGCCCCCAGTCACGTACCCCCTGCTTGCTCAGTCGATCACGACCCTCTCACGCACACCCCCTTAGAGTTGTGAGCCCTTAAAAGGGACAGGAATTGCTCACTTGGGGATCTCGGCTCTTGAGACGGGAGTCTTGCCGATGCCCCTGGCCGGATAAACCCCTTTCTTCTTTAACTCGGTGTCTGAGGAGTTTTGTCTGTGGCTGGTCCTGCTACATTGCTACCTGTGTTATCAGCAAGGTCCTTATGACCTGTATCTTGTGCTGACTTATCTCATCCTGTGACTTAGAATGCTTTTTTTTTTCTTTTTACTGCAACCTCCGCCTCCCCGGCTCAAGCGATTCTCCTGCCTCAGCCTCGCAAGTAGGTGGGATTACAGGCACGAGCCACCACGCCTGACTAATTTTTGTATTTTCAGTAGAGACGGGGTTTCACCGTGTTGGCCAGGCTGGTCTCAAACTCTACTTCGGGTAATCCACCCGCCTCGGCCTCCCAAAGTGCTGGGCCACCGTGCCTGTCATTTTTGTTTTTTTTGGAGAATGCCTTAACTGTCTGGGAATGCAGCCCGGTAGGTCTCAGCCTTATTTTAGTCAGCTCCTATTCAAGATGGAGTTGCCCTGGTTACACGCCTCTGACAGTAGGTCCGTTGCCCAATGCACGCTGTGAGTCAATTTGCCGGGTCACTGTGTTGCAGAAGAGAAGGAAGTTTAATCACAGGGCTGAGGAATGAGGAGATGGGAGGAAACCTCCAATCCATCTCCCCCAGAAGTTTGGGTCTAGGGTTTTTTTTTTTTTTGAGATGGAGTTTTGCTTTGTCACCCAGGCTGGAGTGCAGTGGCAGGATCTTTGCTCACTGCAACCTCCGCCTCCCAGGTTCAAGTAATTCTCTTGCCTCAGCCTCCTGAGTAGCTGGGGTTACAGGCACCCGCTACCACGCCCGACTAATTTTTTGTGTTTTTAGTAGAAACGGGGTTTCACTATGTTGGCCAGGCTGGTCTTGAACTCTTGACCTCAGGTGATTCACCTGCCTTGGCCTCCCAAAGTGCTGGAGTTACAGGTGTGAGCCTCTGCACCCGGCCGGGGCTAGGGTTTTTAAGTGTTTTGGTGTGGGCCAGAGTGTGGCCATGCTGACTGCTGGCGGAGACAGGGGCATGAAGACGCAGTGTTCTCATGCTGATCCCATTCCTCACTGGGGTCTTCAAACTGGTTAGTGTCAGCTATTTGGCTGGAATTCAAGGTCTGAAAAACATCTGAAACCATCCTTAAACAAAAGCCTTATAATTCTAATGTCCCAGAGTTTATCTGTAGGAACCGTGCAGATACAAATTTGTCTAATGGGGCCGGGCGCGGTGGCTCACGCCTGTAATCCCAGCACTTTGGGAGGCCTAGGCGGGAGGATCACGAGGTCAGGAGATCGAGACCATCCTGGCTAACATGGTGAAACCGCGTCTCTACTAAAAATACAAAAAAAATTAGCCAGGCATGGTTGCAGGCACCTGTAGTCCCAGCTATTCGGGAGGCTGAGGCAGGAGAATTGTGTGAACCCGGGAGGCGGAGCTTGCAGTGAGCAGAGATTGCGCCACTGCCCTCCAGCCTGGGCGACAGAGCGAGACTCCGTCTCAAAAAAAAAAAAAAATTCGTCTAATGACCCTGCTGTCAGAAATCCTATCTACAGCAATGATGAGGAGGCAAAAGTGCAGTGTCTAGAGCCACGTGATACACAGCAGCCAGGATGTGGGCCAGAGTGCAGCCTGATTCACATTTTTTCATTTTTATTTTTTTTACTAAAAGTGGGTTTTCATTTTTTGTTTTGTTTTTGTTTTTGTTTTTTGTTTTTTGAGATGGAGTCTCACTCTGTTGCACCCAGGCTGGAGTGCAGTCGTGCGACCTCGGCTCACTGCAACCTCTGCCTCTGCCTCCCGGGTTCAAACAATTCTGCCTCAGCCTCTCGAGTAGCTGGGATTACAGGCGTTGAACTACCATGCCCCGCTAATTTTTGTATTTTTGTAGAGACGCAGTTTCACCATGCTGGCTGGGCTGGTCTCAAACTCCTGACCTTAAGTGATCCATCTGCCTCAGCCTCCCAAAGTGCTGGGATTACAGGCCTGAGCCACTGTGCCTGGTCTACAAAGGATATTTTTGTGGGGAAAAGAAAGAGAGATCAGATTGTAACTGTGTCTGTGTAGAAAGAAGTAGACACAGGAGACTTCATTTTGTTCTGTACTAAGACAAATTCTTCTGCCTTGAGATGCTGTTAATCTATGACCTTACCCCCAACCCTGTGCTCTCTGAAACATGTGCTGTGTCCACTCAGGGTTAAATGGATTAAGGGCTGTGCAAGATGTGCTTTGTTAAACAAATGCTTGAAGGCAGCATGCTCCTTAAGAGTCATCACCACTCCCTAATCTCAAGTACCCAGGGACACAAACACTGCGGAAGGCCGCAGGGACCTCTGCCTAGGAAAGCCAGGTATTGTCCAGGGTTTCTCCCCATGTGATAGCCTGAAATATGGTCTCATGGGAAGGGAAAGACCTGACCGTCCCTCAGCCCGACACCAGTAAAGGGTCTGTGCTGAGGCGGATTAGTAAAAGAGGAAGGAACACCTCTTTGCAGTTGAGACAAGAGGAAGGCATCTGTCTCCTGCTCGTCCCTGGGCAATGGAATGTATGGGTGTAAACCCCGATTGTATATTCCATATACTGAGATAGGGGAAAACCGCCTTAGGGCTGGAGGTGGGACATGCGGGCAGCAATACTGCTCCGTAAGGCATTGAGATGTTTATGTGTATGCATATCTAAAGCACAGCACTTAGTTCTTTACCTTGTCTATGATGCAGAGACCTTTGTTAACGTGTTTATCTGCTGACCTTCCCTCCACTATTATCCTATGACCCTGCCACATCCCCCTCTCTGAGAAACACCCCAAAATGATCAATAAATACTAAGGGAACTCAGAAGCTGGCGGGATCCTCCATATGCTGAATGCTGGTCCCCTGGGTCCCCTTATTTCTTTCTCTATACTTTGTCTGTGTCTCTTTCTTTTCCAAGTCTCTCCTTCCACCTAACGAGAAATGCCCACAGGTGTGGAGGGGCAACCCGCCCTTTCATATTTTAAAGGATACAAATGAACAGCCAAGGAAGAGATGCGTAGGGGGAGGTTTAGAGGAGTCCGAAGTGCAGGAGCTTCTGTCCCTGTGGACCTGGGGTGCACCACAGTCCTGGCACACGAATGCACCCGGGTTCACCAACCAGGAAGCTCTTCTGAACTCTTTCCTGGTTTTTTTTTTTTTTGAGACAGTCTAACTCCGTCACCCAGGCTGGAGTGCAGTGGCGCTATCTCAGCTCACTGCAGCCTCTGTCTCCTGCGTTCAAGTGATTCTCATGCCTCAGCCTCCTGAGTAGCTGGGTCTACAGGTGCACTCCACCACGCCTGGCTAATTTTTTATTTTTTGTAGAGCCAGGGTCTTGCTATTTTGTCCAGACTGGCCTAGAATTCTTGGGCTCAAGCAATCCTCCCATCTAGGCCTCCCAAAGCGTTGGGATTACGGGCATGAGCCACAGGACACCCGGCCCAAACCCTTTTCTTTTGGGGTTTATGGAGGATTCCTTAGGTGGGCAATGCTGATCACATAGCTGGCAGTTCATAATCAATTCAACCTTCAGCCCCTCTCCCCTCCCTGGAGGCCACTTGGAGCCTGGGGCTGAAAGTTCCCAATGTCTAATCACTGACGGTTTCTTTGGCAGCCAGTCCCTCGCACTTGTGGGGTTATCTAGGGGCTTTCCAAAAGTCACCTCATTTACATAAACTCAGGTGTGGTTGCAGGGCCTGGGTATGTATAACAAGAGATACCTCTTTCATGTTTATCTCTCCATAGCTGCTCTAGGACTAAAGGCCAAATGTTTTAACAAAATATACTCTCTCTCTCTTTTTGTCAGCTAGAATATAATTTATTTTTATTGTTTTTATTTTCTTTTTCTTCAGAGAGGGAGTCTCGCCATATTGCCCAGGCTGGTCTTGAACTCCTGGACTCAGGCAGTCCTCCCGCCTCAGCCTCCCAAAGTGCTGGGATTACATTCATGAACCACTGCGCCTGGCCATCTTTTTTTTTTTTTTTTAAAGATGGAGTCTCTGTCGCCCAGGCTGGAGCGCAGTGGTGCAATCTCGGCTCACGGCAACCTCCAACTCCCAGGTTCAATCAATTCTTACGCCTCAGCCTCCTGAGTAGCTGGGATTACAGGTGCACACCACCATGCCTGGCTAATTCTTTATTTTTAGTAGCCAGGGGTTTTTTGCCATGTTGCCCAGGTTGGTCTCGAACTGCTGACCTCAGATGATCCACCTGCCTCAGCCTTCCAAAGTGCAGGGATTACAGGTGTGAGCCACCATGCCAGGCCTCCATAGTGCCTATTTCTATAGATGGCATGCTGCAACTGATATATACATCTTCATTTGTGGGACCATTTGCTTCCATTAAATTAACAGTTTAAACTACCAAAATTCTGTGCTGAATGCTTTCCACAACATACACTGTTTTATTTAAAAACAATTTTAGGCCAGGTGCGGTGGCTCATGCCTGTAATCACCTGACATCAGGAGTTTGAGACCAGCCTGACCAATATGGTGAAACCCTGTCTCTACTAAAAATACAAAAAATTAGTTGGGCATGGTGGCATGTGCCTGCAGTCCCAGCTACTTGGGAAGCTGAGGCATCAGAATTGCTTGAACCTGGAAGGCAGAGGTTGCAAGAATGGAGATTGCACCACTGCACTCCAGCCTGGGCCACAGAGCAAGACTCCATCCAAAAAAAAAAATTAAATATCAGTTATCTATTTATTTTTTTGAGACTGGGTCTCACTCTGTGGCCTAGGCTGGAGTGAGATGGCCAGTCACAGCTCACTGCAGCCTCAAACTCCTGAGCTCAGGTGATCCTCCCACCTCAGCCTCCTGAATAGCTGGGATTACAGGTGCAGCCCATCATGTATGGCTAATTTTTTTGTTTTTGTTTTTGAGACAGTCTTGCTCTTGTCACCCAGGCTGGAGTGCAATGGCGTGATCGTGCCTCACTCACCCTCCACCTCCCTAGTTCAAGTGATTGTCCTGTCTCAGCCTCCCGAGTAGCTGGGATTACAGGCACCTGCCACCACACCTGGCTAATTTTTTGTATGTTTAGTAGAGACAGAGTTTCACCACGTTGGCCAGTCTGGTCTCCAACTCCTGACCTCAGGTGATCCACCCGCCTCGGCTTCCCAAATTGCTGGGACTACAGGCATGAGCTACCACGCCCAGCCTATGCATGGCTAATTATTAAATATTTTTGAAGAGATGGCATCTTGCTATGTTGCCTAGGCTGGTATCAAACTCCTGGCCCCTAGGGATCCACTGGCCTAGGCCTCTCAGCCTGCTGGGATTTATAGGCAGGAGGCACCACAGTTGGCCACAAAGTAGACTTATTGTATTTGTAACTTAGGAAGTCACGGGAGTTTTTGTCCTCTTTTTTTTTAATTTTTATTTATTTTTGTTTAATTTTTTTTCTCTACAAGAGTTTTTAAAGCTGGGAGCCAGGTACCCTGCAAAACCCAAAATGTGTATTTCCTGTTCTGTCGCCTATCACACCTGGCCCGGGTGGTCTAGGAAGGGAATTGCACATTAATCTCACCTGGGGAGATTCAGCAAGCCGTAATTCTCCAAAGCCCACTGAAGCCCAATTACAGCCAAATCCCTGAGGATGGGGCCCAGGTGATGTCAAGGTGAGCCTGAGGTCAGTGGTTGGGAGCCACCCAATGTTAATCTCAGTGGGGCGGTTCCACCCTGGGCGGGAAAGCTGTCTCTCCACCTAGCGTACCAAGGGCCAGAGACCTCCCCTTTTTATCCGTTTCCTTTGCAGGAAACACAGGCTGGAAGCAAGACCTGACCTGAGGGAGGTGAGTGCTGGTTCTTGCATCGATTTCTTTGTCTTCTCGTTTAAGGGAGAAGAAGCTATTGGTTGAGTTTCCACCATAGCCCTTCCCAAGCCTTAATGGTTGGTGCGAGGATGCTGGAAGGATCTTTGATTTTTTTTTTTTTGAGACGGAGTCTCCCTCTGTCGCCCAGGCTGGAGTGCAGTGGCGTGATCTTGGTTCGCTGCAAACTCCGCCTCCTGGGTTCACCCGCCATTCTCCTGCCTCAGCCTCCTGAGTAGCTGGGACTACAGGCACGTGCCACCATGCCCAGCTAATTTTTGTATTTTTAGTAGAGACGGGGTCTCACCATGTTGGCCAGGCTGGTCTTGAACTCCTGACTTTAGGTAATCTGTCTGCCTCGGCCTCCCAAAGTGCTGGGATTCCAGGTGTGAGCCACCACGCCTGGCCTAATGTCTTAAGGACTTCTATTCAAATATAGTTTAGAGGAGTTCAGGAGATTGAGACTAGCCTGGGCAACATGGTAAAACTCTGTCATTACAAAAAAATATAAGGCCAGGCACAGTGGTTCATGCCTGTTATCCCAACACTTTGGGAGGCCGAGGCGGGTGGATCACTTGAGGCCAGAAGTTTGAGACCAGCCTGCCCAAAATGGTGAAACCCTGTCTCTACTAAAAACACAAAAATTAGCCAGGTGTGGTGGTGCATGCCTGTAATCCCAGTTACTTGGAAGGTTGAGGCAGGAGAATAGCTTAAACCTAGGAGGGGGAGGTTGCAATGAGCTGAGATCGCGCCACTGCACTCCAGCCTGGGAGACAGAGTGCGACTCCGTCTCAAAAAACAAAGAAGGCCAGACCTTGTGCTGTGTCCAAGCTACTTGTGGGGTGAGGTGGGAGGATCACCTGAGCCAGGAGGTGGGGGCTGCAATGAGGTGTGATTGAGCCACTGCACTCCAGCCTGGATGAGATGAAGACCCTGTTTAAAAAAAAAAAAAAGTAGGCTGGGCGCGGTGGCTCACGCCTGTAATCCCAGCACTTTCAGATCACCTGAGGCCGGGAGTTTGAGACCAGCCTGACCAACATGGAGAAACCCCATCTCTACTAAAAATACAAAATTAGCTGGGCGTGGTGGCACATGCCTGTAATCCCAGCTACTCGGGAGGCTGAGGCAGGAGAATCACTTGAACCCGGGAGGCGGAGGTTGCGGTGAGCTGAGATTGCGCCACTGCACTCCAGCCTGGGCAACCAGAGTGAAATGCTGCATCAAAAAAAAAAAAAAATGTAAATGGCCAGATGCGGTGGCTCACGCCTGTGATCCCAGCACTTTGGGAGGCCGAGGCGGGTGGATCAGCTGAGGTCAGGAGTTCGAGGCCAGCCTGGCCAACATAGAGAAACCCTGTCTCGGCCGGGCGCGGTGGCTCACGCCTGTAATCCCAGCACTATGGGAGGCCGAGGCGGGCGGATCACGAGGTCAGAAGATCGAGACCATCCTGGCTAACACGGTGAAACCCCATCTCTACTAAAAATACAAAAAAAATTAGCTGGGCATAGTGGCGGGCGCCTGTAGTCCCAGCTACTTGGGAGGCTGAGGCAGGAGAATGGCGTGAACCTGGGAGGCGGAGCTTGCAGTGAGCCCAGATCGCGCCACTGCACTCCAGCCTGGGTGACAGAGCAAGACTCCATCTCAGAAAAAAACAAGAAACCCTGTCTCTACTAAAAATACAAAAACTAGCCCGGCGTGATGCGGTGCGCCTGTAATCCCAGCTTCTTGAGAGGCTGAGGCACTAGAATCACTTGAACCTGGGAGGTGGAGGTTGCAGTGAGTCGAGATTGTGCCACTGCACTCCAGCCTGGGCAACAGAGGGAGACTCCATCTCAAAAAAAAGAAAAAAAGAAAAAAATGTACTTGGGAAAAAAAATACTTGGCCAGGCCTGGTGGCTCATACCTGTAATCCCAGCACTTTGGGAGGCTGAGGTGGGCAGATCACCTGAGGTCAGGAGTTCAAGACCAGCCTGGCCAACATGGTGAAACCCCGTTTGTACTAAAAATACAAAAAAAATTAGGTGTGGTGGGGCATACCTGTAATCCCAGCTACTTGGGAGGCCGAGGCAGGAGAATCGCTTGAACCCGGGAAGAGGAGGTTGTGGTAAGCCTCGCACCATTGCACTCCAGCCTGGGCGACAGAGCAAGACTTTCTGAAAAAGAAAAAAAAAACCCTGAATTTTTCTTTTCTTTTCTTTTTTTTTTTTTTTTTGAGAGGGAGTCTCACTCGCCCAGGCTGGAGTGCAGTGGCGCGATCTTGGCTCACTGCAAGCTCCGCCTCCCAGGTTCAAGCCATTCTCCTGCCTCAGCCTCCCAAGTAGCTGGGACTACAGGCGCCCGCCACCATGCCCGGCTAATTTTTTTTTTGTATTTTTAGTAGAGACGGGGTTTCACCGTGTTAGCCAGGATGGTCTTGAGCTCCTCACCTTGTGATCTGCCCGCCTCGGCCTCCCATAGTGCTGGGATTACAGGCGTGAGCCACCGTGCCTGGCCAAAAAACCCTGAATTTTTCTAAGTACATCAAGCGTTGTCACTGCAAAAACGAAAGGCAACTATATGAAGCAGTGGATATGTTAATTAGCTGGATTGTGGTAATCATTTCACTGTATATATAACATCGCTCCATGCTGTACACTTTGACAAGTAAACGTTGTATATATTACTTTAAAAATACTTAAAAAATAGAGACAAGGTCTCCTTGTGTCGCCCAGGCTGGTCTGGAACTCCTGGGCTCTCATGCTCTTCCTGCTCCATCCTAAAATAGGATATATGTAATTATACCTCACTGAAGGGGTGGCCTGCCCCTCCACACCTGTGGGTGTTTCTTGTCAGGTGGGACGAGAGACTGAGAAAAGAAAGAGACACAGAGACAAAGTACACAGAAAGAAAAGTGGGCTCAGGAGACCCGCGCCGGCCGGGTCTCTGAGTTCCTTCAGTATTTATTGGTCATTATCTCTACCATCTCGGAGACGGGGATGTGGCAGGACAATAGGGTAACAGTGGGGAGAGGGTCAGCAGGAAAACATGTGAGCAAATGTCTGTGTCATAAACAAGGTTAGGAAATGTGCTGTGCCTTGATGTGCTCATACATAAACATATCTGGTGCATTAAAGAGCAGTATTGCTGCCAGCATGTGTCACCTCCAGCCCTAAGGCGGTTTTCCCCTATCTCGGTGGATGGAACATACCATCGGGTTTTACACCGAGACATTCCATTGCCCAGGGACGAGCAGGAGACAGATACCTTCCTCTTAACTGCAAAAAGGCCTTCCTCTTATACTAATCCTCTTCAGCACAGACCCTTTACGGGTGTCGGGCTGGGGTACGGTCTGGTCTTTCCCTTCCCACGAGGCCTTATCTCAGGCTATCACATGGGGAGAAACTTTGGACAATACCTGGCTTTTCTAGGCAGAGGTCCCTGCAGCCTTCCGCAGTGTATTGTGTCCCTGGGTGCTTGAGATTAGAGAGTGGTGATGACTTTTAACAAGCATGCTGCCTTCAAGCATCTGTTTAACAAAGCACATCCTGCATAGCCCTAAACCCACGTGTGACACAGCACATGTTTCTGGGAGCACAGGGTTGGGGCTAGGGTTACAGGTTAACAGCATCTCAAGGCAGAAGAATTTTTCTTAGTACAGAACAAAATGGAGTCTCTTATGTCTATTTCTTTCTACATAGACACAGTAACAGTCTGATCTGTCCTCCTTTTCCCCACACGTCACAGCTGGGGAAAAAGATTTGCTGTTCCCTCCAAGGGTAAAGCTGTCCACCTCTATCAGCACCCGGGCTTGGCAAGTCACTTTTTCTGTTATTTATTTTCCAGGCTGCCTCTTCCCCCCGCCCCCCCAACCCAGACGGAGTCTCGCTCTGTCGCCCAGGCTGGAGTGCGGTGGCGCGATCTCCGCTCACTGCAAGCTCCGCCTCCCGGGTTCCCGCCATTCTCCTGCCTCAGCCTCCCGAGTAGCTGGGACTACAGGCGCCCGCCACCACGCCCGGCTAATTGTTTGTATTTTTAGTAGAGACGGGGTTTCACCGTGTTAGCCAGGATGGTCTCGATCTCCTGACCTCGTGATCCGCCTGCCTCGGCCTCCCAAAGTGCTGGGATTACAGGCGTGAGCCACCGCACCCGGCCATTAGTTACTTACTTTTGAGACAGGGCCTCACTCTGTCACCCAGGCTGGCGTGCAGTGGCTGGCTCACTGCAACCTCCAAATCGTAGGCTCAAACAATCCTCCTGTGTCAGCCTCCCAAGTATCTGGGACTACGGGTATGTTCCACCAGGCCTGGCTAAGTTTTTTTTTTTTGAGATAGAGTTTCGCTCTTGTTGCCCAGGCTGGAGTACAATGGCGCTATCTCAGCTCACTGCAACCTCCGCCTCCTGGGTTCAAGCGATTCTCCTGCCTCAGCCTCCCACGTACCTGGGATTACAGGTTCCTACCACTACACTTGGCTAGCTTTTGTATTTTTAGTAGAGATGGGGTTTCACCATGTGGGCCAGGCGGGTCTCAAACTCCTGACATCAGGCGATCCACCTGCCTCAGCCTCCCAAAGTGCTGGGATTCCAGGCCTGAGCCACCATACCCGGCCAGTACAGTTATATTTATATCTGTCCTCTTGCTATTTGTTTTCAATGTGTCATTCAGTGGTGGGCTGAAATGTTAAACAAGTGGCTCTGAGGGTTGGTGGCGAGGAAGTCTTGGTTTGTAGTGTTTGCTGATTTGTTTTTTTGTTTGTTTGAGACAGAGTCTTGTTCTTGTTGCCGAGGCTCGAGTGCAATGGCGTGATCTCAGATCATGCAACCTCCACCTCCCAGGTTCAAGTGTGATTCTCCTGTCTCGGCCTCCTGAGTAGCTGGGATTACAGGCACCCGCCTGTAATTTCTGTATTTTTAGTAGAGATGGGGTTTCGCCGTGTTGGTCAGGCTGGTCTTGAGCTCCCGACCTCAGGTTATCCACCCGCCTTGGCCTCCCAAAGTGCTGGGATTACAGGCGTGAGCCACCGCGCCCTGCCGTGTTTGCTGATTTCTGTGGCATAAACACTCCCCTTGTGATTTTGTACTATCAGTGTGAAATCACAGCCCATGGACGTTGGTATAGGTACATATAGGAAGCCCCCATTAGGCAGCACGGGCTGGCCCTAGCATACCACTGACCCTTCATTCTTTGTATTCTTTTTTTTTTTTTTTTTTTTTTTTTTGAGACGGAGTCTCGCTCTGTCGCCCAGGCTGGAGTGCAATGGTGAGATCTCTGCTCACTGCAAGCTCCACTTCCCGGGTTCACACCATTCTCCTGCCTCAGCCTCCCGAGTAGCTGGGACTACAGGTGCCCGCCACCACGCCCTGCTAATTTTTTGTATTTTTTTAGTAGAGGCAGGGGTTTCACTGTGTTAGCCAGGATGGTCTCGATCTCCTGATATCGTGATCCATCCGCCTCGGCCTCCCAAAGTGCTGGGATTACAGGCGTGAGCCACCGTGCCCAGCCTTTTGTTCGTTCTTTTTACCAAGTTAGCCAGGCTGGTCTCGAACTCCTGGCCGCAGGCGTGAGCCACCGTGCTGGGCCAGATTTTCAGTCTCTTAATTCAGTCTTTGGAATATTTTACCACTCACTGTACAGCAGGAACAGTCTTGTTCTTGGCACACAGGAAACTGTGGTTTCATTTAATGATGGTAACTCGTGAACTGTTTTTCCTTTTTTCCCCCCAGTTCTTCAGCCTTAACCTAAGGTCTCATACTCGGAGCACTATGACATCGCCCCAGCTAGAGTGGACTCTGCAGACCCTTCTGGAGCAGCTGAACGAGGATGAATTAAAGAGTTTCAAATCCCTTTTATGGGCTTTTCCCCTCGAAGACGTGCTACAGAAGACCCCATGGTCTGAGGTGGAAGAGGCTGATGGCAAGAAACTGGCAGAAATTCTGGTCAACACCTCCTCAGAAAATTGGATAAGGAATGCGACTGTGAACATCTTGGAAGAGATGAATCTCACGGAATTGTGTAAGATGGCAAAGGCTGAGATGATGGGTAAGTAGAACCTGGGGTGTCCTGGTCATTTTTTTTTTTTTTTTTTTTTTTTTGAGATGGAGTCTCGTTCTGTCGCCCAGGCTGGAGTGTAAGGCTGGAGTGCAGTGGCGAGATCTGGGCTCACTGCAACCTCCGCCTCTGGGTTCAAGTGATTCTCCTATCTCAGCCTCCGGAGTAGCTGGGATTACAGGCGTGTTTCACCACACCTGGCTAATTTTTTTTTTTTTGTATTTTTAGTAGAGATGGGGTTTTGCCATGTTGGCCAGGCTGGTCTTGATCTCCTGACCTTGTGATCCGCCCACCTCAGCCTTCCAAAGTGCTGTGATTACAGGCATGAGCCACCATGCCTGGCTGACACTTTATGTACAATAATGTCTGATTTACGAAGTGTAAATTACTGTGTCAGGCTTACATCTAAGTATTTTACAGAGGACGGACAGGTGCAAGAAATAGATAATCCTGAGCTGGGAGATGCAGAAGAAGACTCGGAGTTAGCAAAGCCAGGTGGGTAAATACGGTCCTATGGTCATGAGTTTGGTGTTTGAGAGCATGCAAGGTGCATCACTTCTTCCTGGTTTTATTCATTTCTGGTAGTTTTTTTTTTTTTTGAGACGGAATCTTGCTCTGTAGCCCAGGCTGGAGTGTAGTGGCTCCGTCTCTGCTCATTGCAACCTCTGCCTCCCGGGTTCAAGCAATTCTCTGCCTCAGCCTCCTGAGTAGCCGGGATTACAGGCGGCCGCCACTACCCCCAGCTAATGTTTTGTATTTTTAGTAGAGATGGGGTTTCACTATCTTGGCCAGGCTGGTCTTGAACTCCTGACCTCAAGTGATCCACCCACCTTGGCCTCCCAAAGTGCCGGGATTACAAGCATGAGACACCGTGCCTGGCCCTCATTTCTGGTACTTGACAAAATAATTCAGAAAATCATCATCATCAACCTCAACTGTCCTATGGGCTGTCACTGCAGGTGAAAAGGAAGGATGGAGAAATTCAATGGAGAAACAGTCTTTGGTCTGGAAGAACACCTTTTGGCAAGGAGACATTGACAATTTCCATGACGACGTCACTCTGAGAAACCAACGGTTCATTCCATTCTTGAATCCCAGAACACCCAGGAAGCTAACACCTTACACGGTGGTGCTGCACGGCCCCGCAGGCGTGGGGAAAACCACGCTGGCCAAAAAGTGTATGCTGGACTGGACAGACTGCAACCTCAGCCCGACGCTCAGATACGCGTTCTACCTCAGCTGCAAGGAGCTCAGCCGCATGGGCCCCTGCAGTTTTGCAGAGCTGATCTCCAAAGACTGGCCTGAATTGCAGGATGACATTCCAAGCATCCTAGCCCAAGCACAGAGAATCCTGTTCGTGGTCGATGGCCTTGATGAGCTGAAAGTCCCACCTGGGGCGCTGATCCAGGACATCTGCGGGGACTGGGAGAAGAAGAAGCCGGTGCCCGTCCTCCTGGGGAGTTTGCTGAAGAGGAAGATGTTACCCAGGGCAGCCTTGCTGGTCACCACGCGGCCCAGGGCACTGAGGGACCTCCAGCTCCTGGCGCAGCAGCCGATCTACGTAAGGGTGGAGGGCTTCCTGGAGGAGGACAGGAGGGCCTATTTCCTGAGACACTTTGGAGACGAGGACCAAGCCATGCGTGCCTTTGAGCTAATGAGGAGCAACGCGGCCCTGTTCCAGCTGGGCTCGGCCCCCGCGGTGTGCTGGATTGTGTGCACGACTCTGAAGCTGCAGATGGAGAAGGGGGAGGACCCGGTCCCCACCTGCCTCACCCGCACGGGGCTGTTCCTGCGTTTCCTCTGCAGCCGGTTCCCGCAGGGCGCACAGCTGCGGGGCGCGCTGCGGACGCTGAGCCTCCTGGCCGCGCAGGGCCTGTGGGCGCAGATGTCCGTGTTCCACCGAGAGGACCTGGAAAGGCTCGGGGTGCAGGAGTCCGACCTCCGTCTGTTCCTGGACGGAGACATCCTCCGCCAGGACAGAGTCTCCAAAGGCTGCTACTCCTTCATCCACCTCAGCTTCCAGCAGTTTCTCACTGCCCTGTTCTACGCCCTGGAGAAGGAGGAGGGGGAGGACAGGGACGGCCACGCCTGGGACATCGGGGACGTACAGAAGCTGCTTTCCGGAGAAGAAAGACTCAAGAACCCCGACCTGATTCAAGTAGGACACTTCTTATTCGGCCTCGCTAACGAGAAGAGAGCCAAGGAGTTGGAGGCCACTTTTGGCTGCCGGATGTCACCGGACATCAAACAGGAATTGCTGCAATGCAAAGCACATCTTCATGCAAATAAGCCCTTATCCGTGACCGACCTGAAGGAGGTCTTGGGCTGCCTGTATGAGTCTCAGGAGGAGGAGCTGGCGAAGGTGGTGGTGGCCCCGTTCAAGGAAATTTCTATTCACCTGACAAATACTTCTGAAGTGATGCATTGTTCCTTCAGCCTGAAGCATTGTCAAGACTTGCAGAAACTCTCACTGCAGGTAGCAAAGGGGGTGTTCCTGGAGAATTACATGGATTTTGAACTGGACATTGAATTTGAAAGGTAAGAACTGTTTTCCCATCCCACGCTCCACTAGGAAGAGGCCAGCGTCTCCTTTGCCCTGTCGCTTACTGTCAGAATTTCCCTCTGGCTGGACTTCTTTCCAGCTTCATGTTCAACGTGGAGACACGACTTGGCAATTAGGAATTGGGGCTTTTTATTTTTGAGACGGAGTCTCGCTCTGTCCCCCAGGCTGGAGTGCAGTGGCGCGATCTTGGCTCACTGCAACCTCCGCCTCCCGGGTTCAAGTGATTCTCCTGCCTCAGCCTCCCGAGTAGCTGGGACTATGGGCGTGCACCACCTTGCCCGGTTAATTATTTTATTTTTTTGTAGAGATGGGGGTCTCAGTTTCTAGCCCAAGTTGGTCTTAAACTCCTGGGCTCAAGTGATCTTCCCACTTTGGCCTAGCAAAGTGTTGGGATTACAGGCATGAGCCACCTCACTCAGCCTTATCTATTATTTTATTTTTTTTGTAAAACTTAAGATCTATACTGGTAGCAAAGCATGTGATGCAATATTGTTTACTATAGACACTGTTTTAGGTTGGTGCAAAAGTAATTGTGGTTTTTGCCATTGAAATGTGGTTTGCAGATGCCCATCTCACCATGCAGGTACTAGTCCTAAGAGATGAACGTGTGTTCTCCTGCAGGTGCACTTACCTAACCATTCCGAACTGGGCTCGGCAGGATCTTCGCTCTCTTCGCCTCTGGACAGATTTCTGCTCTCTCTTCAGCTCAAACAGCAACCTCAAGTTTCTGGAAGTGAAACAAAGCTTCCTGAGTGACTCTTCTGTGCGGATTCTTTGTGACCACGTAACCCGTAGCACCTGTCATCTGCAGAAAGTGGAGTAAGTAGAAGCTCATCTTGCAAGGAAGACCCTGAACGATGACTAAGCTTCTTGTACTTTTGTTTTTTAAATTTGGAAATGTGCTGTTTCATCTCCATGTATTTGGGGATTTTCCAGCTGTCTTTTTTTTTTTTTTTTTTTTTGGTGAGACGGAGATTTACTCTTGTTGCCCAGGCTGGAGTGCAATGGCGCGATCTCAGCTCACTGCATCCTCCACCTCCCAGGTTCAAGCAATTCTCCTGCCTCAGCCTCCCGAGTAGCTGGGATTACAGGCATGTGCCACCTTGCCCGGCTAATTTTGTACTTTTAGCACAGACAGGTTTTCACCGTGTTGCCCAGGCTGATCTCGAGCTCCTGACCTCAGGTGATTTGCCTGCCTCGGCCTTCCAAAGTGCTGGGATTATAGGCATGAGCCGCTGCACCTGGCCCCTTTTTTATTTTTTATTTTTTCTGAGACAGAGTTTCACTCTGTCACCTAGGCGCTGGAGTGCAATGACTTAATCTTGTGTTTTTAGTAGAGGTGGAATTTTCTCCATCTTGGCCAGGCTTGTCTCGAACTCCTGACCTAAGGTGATGCGCCTGCCTCGGTCTTCGAAAGTGCTGGGATTACAGGCATGAGCCACCATGCCTGGCCCCAGCTATCTTTTTTTTGGTTTGTTTTGTTACCAAAACAAACCAAAAAGTAGGTACAAGTACAGGTTAGTTACACAGGTAACCGTGTGTCATAGGAGTTTGTTGTACAGATTATTTTGTCACCCAAGTATTAAGCCTAGTACCCCTTAGTTGTTTTTCCTGATCCTCTGCTTCTTGACTTTTTTTTTTTTTTTTGAGACAGTCTCGCTATGTTCCCCAGGCTGGAGTGCAGTGCAGCAATCTCGGCTCACTGCAAGCCCTGCCTCCCGGGTTCATGCCATTCTCCTGCCTCAGCCTCCCGAGTAGCTGGGACTACAGGCGCCCGCCACCACGCCCGGCTAGTTTTTTGTAATTTTAGTAAAGACGGGGTTTCACCGTGTTAGCCAGGATGGTCTTGATCTCCTGACCTCGTGATCCACCCGCCTCGGCCTCGGCCTCCCAAAGTGCTGGGATTACAGGCGTGAGCCACCACACCCGGCGAATTTTTTTTTCTTTTGAGATGGAGTCTTGCTCTGTTGCCCAGGCTGGAGTGCAGTGGTGCGGTCTCGGCTCACTGCAACCTCTGCCTCCTGGATTCAAGTGATTCTCCTACCTCAGCCTCCCGAATACCTGGGACTACAAGCATGCCCCTCCATGTGCAGCTAATTTTTGTATTTTTAGTAGAGACGGGGCTTCCCCATGTTGGCCAGGCTGGTCTCGAACTCCTGACCTCAGGCGATCTGCCTGCCTCGGCCCCAGCTAATTTATTTTTTGTAGAGATGGAGTTTCACCATGTTGCCCAGGTTGGTCTCAGACTCCTGACCTCAGGTTATCCTCCTGCCTCAGCCTCCCAAAGTGCTGGGGTTACAGACACGAGCCACTGCACCCGGCCAAGAACTTCTAATAATTTCTAAATGTGAAACAGCTTTTTGTTTATACATGCCTCCACACAATGTGAGTATTAATCACTCCAAGTGGAATCTCTTCTGCTTTTCCCTAGGATTAAAAACGTCACCCCTGACACCGCGTACCGGGACTTCTGTCTTGCTTTCATTGGGAAGAAGACCCTCACGCACCTGACCCTGGCAGGGCACATCGAGTGGGAACGCACGATGATGCTGATGCTGTGTGACCTGCTCAGAAATCATAAATGCAACCTGCAGTACCTGAGGTGGGTCTCACGGTCACGGCTCTCCCCAGCACCTGGAGTCCACTGCACCGTGTTGCTGGGGGATCTAGGAAAAAGGGTAACCACTCCAGATGCCGTCCCAGACAGGGAATGTATTCCTCAAACAGGCCTGTGTGGGGGAGTCGGCCTCTCCTCTTTCCCCCACCAGCTTGTCTTCTGTGTTGCATAACCAGCTATCCATGCAAAGAAACACCCCGAATTCTGTGCTGGGTTCCAGCTTTAGGGACATGCTATTCCTGACTGCACCTTGCCTAATTGTTGGGATTGAGAGCAGTGGCCCCCAGCCTTTTCTGCACCGCGGGCCGGTTTTGCACAAGACAGTTTTTTCCACAGACGGGTTTGGGGGTAGTTTTGGGATGAAACTGTTCGATCTCAGATCAGGCACAGGAGCTAATCGTTGGTGCCTGATCCTATGGAGTGCATGATCCTCGCACTTTGGGAGCCTGAGGAGAATGGATCATCAATCTCAGATCATCAGGAGTTAGGTATTCATAAGGAGCATGCAACCTTCTCTGCACTCAATGAGAATCTTTTTTTTTTTTTTTTTTCTTTGAGACAGTTTTATTCTTGTCACCCAGGCTGGAGCGCAGTGGCGCGATCTCGTTCACTGCAACCTCCGCCTCCTGGGTTCAAGCAGTTCTGCCTCAGCTTCCCGAGTAGCTGGGGTTACAGGCGTGCACCACCACGCCTGGCAAATGTTTGTATTTTTAATAGAGACAGGGTTTCACCATGTTGGCCAGGCTGGTCTCGAACTCCTGACCTCAAGTGATCCGCCTGTCTCGGCCTCCCAAAGTGCTAGGATTACAGGCATGAACCACTGCGCCTGGCCAGGATAAAATTTTTATTTTGAGTATTAAGCATCAATTTGCCCCTTCTAGTCCCAGCTACAGTGGATGCTGAGGTGGGAGGATCATTTGAGCCCAGGAGACAGGTTGTGGTGACCTGTGATCATGCCACTGCACTCCAGCCTGGGCAACAGAGCGAGATCCTGTCTCAAAAAAAAAATTTTTTTTTCCCCCCTGCAAAATCATCCACACAGGCCGTTTTGGTGAAACATTGCACAGAATTGTATTACAATCTCTTGGAGAAGTGGCTGGATGTTACCCTAATGGCCATGGGGATACTTGAAGAAGCAGAGGCAACATTAGATCTCTCCAGTAATTCAGGCCAGGGTTGGAGGCATGAGTAGAATGAGATAAACCAAAGACATAATGTCTTGGGAAGTGAAGCAGAAGAAGCTGATCTGGGCCAGGCGCGGTGGCTCACACCTGTAATCCCAGTACTTCGGTAGGCCAAGGTGGGTGGATCACCTGAGGTCAGGAGTTCAAGACCAGTGTGGCCAACATGGTGAAATCCCGTCTCTACTAAAAATACAAAAATTGGCGAATGCCTGTAATCCCAGCTACTTCGGAGGCTGAGGCAGGAGAATAGCTTGAACCCGGGAGGCGGAGGCTGCAGTGAGGTGAGATCACGCCTTTGCATTCCAGACTGGGCAACAGAGTGAAACTCTGTCTCAAAAAAAAAAAGCTGATAGGGTATACTCTGTCCTCCCAGAAGAATGACTTTTCCCACTCTTTTCACAGGTTGGGAGGTCACTGTGCCACCCCGGAGCAGTGGGCTGAATTCTTCTATGTCCTCAAAGCCAACCAGTCCCTGAAGCACCTGCGTCTCTCAGCCAATGTGCTCCTGGATGAGGGTGCCATGTTGCTGTACAAGACCATGACACGCCCAAAACACTTCCTGCAGATGTTGTCGTAAGTCTCCTCTTCCCATGGGCAGCTCTGGTTTAGTTCTGGGGCTATAGAAGAGAAAGGGTAACACCTGACTTACTGCGCCACCCACGTGGCGCCTCTTGCTGAAATAAACACCTGCTTCAGGCCCGGCACGGTGGCTCCTGCCTGTAATCTCAGCAGAGAGGTGGGCGGATCATCTGAGTTCAGGAGTTCGAGACCAACCTGGCCAACATGGTGAAACCCTGTTTCTATTAAAAATACCAAAAACAGGCCGGGTGCGGTGGCTCATGCCTGTAATCCCAGCACGTTGGGAGGCCAAGGCGGGGAGATCACGAGGTCAAGAGATCGAGACCATCCTGGCTAACATGGTGAAACCCCGTCTCTACTAAAAAATACAAAAAATTATCCAGGTGTGGTGGGCGCCTGTAGTCCCAGCTACTCAGGAGGCTGAGTCAGCAGAATGGTGTAAACCTGGGAGGCGGCGATTGGCAGTGAACCGAGATCGCGCCACTGCACTCCAGCCTGGGCGACAGAGCGAGACTCCGTCTCAAAAACAACACCTGTGTCCTGTGATGGCTCCAGGTGGACCGCTGCATCTTGGCCTTCTCGCCTTCCTGCTCTTTTGTGGCCATGATGACTCCCACAGGACAGAGGGCAGGGGATGAACAGGAAGGGCTGAAGCTGAGTACCCTAGCATGTGGACATCACTGAGCAGGTTGGAGTTGTGGAAATGTTCTCATCCTTCTACCATTTGTTTCATATTTTTGCAGGTTGGAAAACTGTCGTCTTACAGAAGCCAGTTGCAAGGACCTTGCTGCTGTCTTGGTTGTCAGCAAGAAGCTGACACACCTGTGCTTGGCCAAGAACCCCATTGGGGATACAGGGGTGAAGTTTCTGTGTGAGGGCTTGAGTTACCCTGATTGTAAACTGCAGACCTTGGTGTAAGTCCCTGCTGGGTGTGTGTGTGTGTGCACATGAATTCAAGCAGGAGAGACATGAAAGTACTTGTTAATTCATTTCAAATGTAACTTTTAAAAACCTGGTAAGAATTAAAGAACAGGCAGAGGCCAGGCGTGGTGGCTCATGCCTGTAATCCCAGCACTTTGGGAGGCCGAGGCGGGTGGATCATGAGGTCAGGAGATGGAGACCATCCTGGTTAACATGGTGAAACCCTGTCTGTACTAAAAATACCAAAAATTAGCCAGGTGTGGTGGCGGATGCCTGTAGTCCCAGCTACTTGGGAGGATGAGACAGGAGAATGGCGTGAACCTGGAAGGCGGAGGTTGCAGTGAGCCGAGATCGCACCACTGCACTCCAGCCTGGGCGACAGAACAAGACTCCTTCTCAAAAAAACAAAGAAACAAAAAAAACCAGGCAGATACAGGTAGAAACATGTTAATATTTGCATGTCAGCAGAGCCTCTTCCTGCTATGAAGGAAGATTTGAGATGAGTAGTTGGTTCTCGGATCTGATGCTTTGTGTGTGTTCTTTCAAATTCCTATGACATAGTACTGCCTGCTATTGGAGGTAGATTGAGTTATGTGGTAGGGCCAGTGGCACCTTTTTTTAAACTTTTATTTCCATAGGTTATTGGGGAACAGGTGGTGAATGGTGGGCAGATCACCTAAGGTTCGAGACCAGCCTGGCCAACATGGTGAAAACCCATCGCTACTAAAAAATACAAAAATTAACCAGGCTTGGTGGTGCGTGCCTATAGTACCAGCTACTCAGAAGGCTGAGGTAGGAGAATCGCTTGAATCTGGGAGGCAGAGGCTGCAGTGAGCTGAGATGGCGCCACTGCACTCCAGCCCGGGCGACAGAGTGAGACTCCGTCTCAAGAAAAAAACAAAAAAAAACTCAACAAAAATCCTTATTTGTAAAAGACATAGGTGGCAGGTTGGAATTGACCCACGAACTATAGTTGGCTGAATCTTGTTATATGGAAAGAAGCCCAGCGTGAGCTACCTGTTCACATTAAAATTATGGTTAGAAAAATATTCAAGAGATTGCATAGGGTTGAAGACCTGTTCCTGTTCAGAAATTCTAGCTAGTGGTCATTTCTGAGATTCATTTTTTTTTTTTTGGATGAAGTCTCACTCTGTCGCCCAGACTGGAATGCAGTGGTGTAATCTTGGCTGACTGCAACTTCTGCCTCCCAGGTTCAAGCGATTCTCCTGCCTCAGCCTCCCAAGTAGCTGGGATTACAGGTGCCCTCCACCATGCCTGGCTAATTTTTGCACTTTTAGTGGAGATGAGGTTTCACCATGTTGGCCAGGCTGGTCTTGAACTCCTGGCCTTAAGTGATCTGCCTGCCTCGGCCTCCCAAAGTGCTGGCGTTCCAGGCATGAGCCACTGTGCCTGGCTTAGAATAACTATTGTTAAACAAACAGTCACCTACCTGATCGTTATACGAAGTGTACCTGCACCAAAACATCACACTATACCCCTATATATGTAGAATGTGTCAGTTAAAGACAAAACTTAAACATGAAATAAAATGACAGGGAAAGTGAAATTTCCATAATCTAACCACGCAGAAAATAAGTGACCCAGGGCTCAGATCCTGTCCTGGGTCGGTCTGAACCCAGAGCCTAAGCTGTTGTCCCAGGCAGAGCTGGAAATGGATGGAATCAGAAGGCCATTTGGATGTTTTTTTTTTTTTTTTAACAGTCTCTCTCTGTCACCAGGCTGGAGTGCAGTGGTGCGATCTTGGCTCACTGCAACCTCCGCTTCCTGGGTTCAAGTAATTCTCCTACCTCAGCCTCCTGAGTAGCTAGGATTACAGGCATGGGCCGCCACACCTGGCTAATTTTTTTTTTTTTTTGAGATGGAGTTTCGCTCTTGCCCAGGCTGGAGTGCAATGGTGCAATCTCTGCTCACCACAACCTCCGTCTCCCCAGTTCAAGAGATTCTCCTGCCTCAGCCTCCTGAGTAGCTGGGATTACAGGCATGTGCCACCACACCTGGCTAATTTTGTATTTTTAGTAGAGACGGGTTTCTCCATATTGCTTAGGCTGGTCTTGAACTCCCGACCTCAGGTGATCTGTCTGCCTCAGCCTCCCAAAGTGCTGAGATTACAGGTGTGAGCCATCGTGCCCAGCTAATTTTTGTATTTAGTAAAGATGGGGTTTCACCACTTTGGCCAGGCTGGTCTTGAACTCCTGATCTTGTGATTCACCCACCTTGGTCTCCCAAAGTGCTGAGATTACAGGTTTGAGCCACCGCGCCCGGCCCGATTTTTGTATTTTTTAGTAGAGATGGGGTTTCACCATGTTGGCCAGGCTGGTCTTGAACTCCTGACCTCAAATGATCTGCCCGTCTTGGCCTCCCACTGCTGTGATTATAGGCGTGAGCCACTGTGCCCGGCCCATTTGCATGCTTTTATGTGCAAGCCCACCTGGAAGTATATAGCTCCAGTTCATGGGTCAATTCCTACCTGCCACCTATGTTTTATATAAATACTTTTTGTTGTTGTTGTTGTTTTCTTGAGACGGAGTCTCGCTCTGTCGCCCGGGCTGGAGTGCAGTGGCGCGATCTCAGCTCACTGCAGCCTCTGCCTCCCGGATTCAAGCGATTCTCCTGCCTCAGTCTTCTGAGTAGCTGGCACTACAGGCGTGCACCACCAAGTCTGGTTATATAGGTGGCGGGCACCTATAATCCCAGCTACTTGGGAGGCTGAGGCAGAAGAATCGCTTGAACCTGGGAGGCAGAGGTTGCAGTGAGCCAAGAGTGCAGCACTGCATTCCAGTATATAAGTGGAAGGTATATAGTGTTGGAAATAACTGCTTCACAGGGCGTTAGCCAGAGGGATAACAGGCTTCTCTTCCTTTGATTATCCTGTAGGTTACAGCAATGCAGCATAACCAAGCTTGGCTGTAGATATCTCTCAGAGGCGCTCCAAGAAGCCTGCAGCCTCACAAACCTGGACTTGAGTATCAACCAGATAGCTCGTGGATTGTGGATTCTCTGTCAGGCATTAGAGAATCCAAACTGTAACCTAAAACACCTACGGTAGGCGATTTTCTTTTTCTTCTTTCTTTCTTTTTTTGAGACAGGGTCTTGCTCTGTCCCCCAGCCTGGAGTGCAGTGGGGTGATTACGGCTCACTGCGGCTTCGGTCTTCCAGGCTTGATCGGTTCTCCCACCTCAGCCTCCTGAGTAGCTGGCTCTACAGGCATGTATTACCATGGCCAGGTAACTGTTTTCTGTAGAGATGAGGTCTTGTCATCTTTCCCGGGCTGGTTTTGAATTCTGGTGCTCAAGGAATCCTCCCACCTCGGCCTCCCAATGTGCTAGGATTACAGGCATGAGCCATCATGCCTGGCCTCATTTTTAAAGTGTTTGGAAATCTGGAAATCCTTAATTTCTATGTTTTCTTTTTTTTTTTTTTTTTTTGAGACGGAGCCTCGTTCTAGTTGCCCAGGCTGGAGTGCAGTGGCGCGATCTCGGCTTACTGCAACCTCTTCCTCCCGGGTTCTCGCTATTCTCCTGCCTCAGCCTCCTGAGTAGCTGGGACTACAGATGCCCGCCACCGTGCCTGGCTAATTTTTTTTGTATTTTTAGTAGAGATGGGTTTCACAGTGTTAGCCAGGATGGTCTCGATCTCCTGACCTCATGATCTGCCCGCCTTGGCCTTCCAAAGTGCTGGGATTACAGGCGTGAGCCACCACGCCCGGCCAATTTCTATGTTTTCAATATCTCAGACTGTATCACTTCGGATCCAGTTTTAAGATCAAACCCCTCCAGAAACTGAATATATGTGGGTGGGCACTTCTAAAGTCAGGTAGAGGGCCTGGAGAAGTGAAATATATATAACAATGGCCCCCAGTGACCTGGACTTCAGCAGCATGCTGCTTCTGCTGGGATCCAGTAATCAGGAAGCAGTGAGCCTGCCCCACCTCATAAACCCAGGGAACCATAGGTGGGATACCACCCCCAGAAAATGCAAAGTCTCCACAAATGGAATGGCGAGCTCTTCATCACTTCTCTCCCCAAAGTTTGTCAGTTGCATCTCTTGGATGCAACCTATTTTCCAACTAGAATCTGCAATCCTAATGCAAAGAGAATCTGCACGTCATTACTACTTAGCTTTGCTGTAGAGTAAAGAAAAAAAACACTAGAACACAGGGTACTTTTTTTCTTTTTTCAGACAGAGTCTCGCTTTGTCACCCAGGCTGGAGTGCAGTGGTGCGATCTTGGCTCACTGCAACCTCAGCCTCCAAGGTTCAAGCGATTCTCCTGATTGAGCTGAGTAGTTGGGATTACAGGCGTGCACCACCATACCCAGCTAATTTTTGTATTTTTAGTAGAGACCAGGTTTCACCATGTTAGCCAGACTGGTCTCAAACTCCTGACCTCAAGTGATCCACCTGCCTCAACCTCCCAAAGTGCTGGGATTACAGGCATGAGCCACCATTCCTGGCCTCCTGAAGTTTCTTAACCCATCCCCCTGAGGAATATTTCAAGCCTCAAGCCAGACCGTGATACCTTTATTTCCAAAGACTCAAAAGCTCAATGCAAACGGGTGGATTACCTGGTGTCTTGTTCCTGTAATCTCAGCTATGACTGTAATCCTAGATTCTCGGGAGGCTGGGGCAGGAGAATCGCTTGAACCCAGGAGGCGGAGGTTGCAGTGAGCCGAGATCACGCCATTGCACTCCAGCCTTGGCAACAAGAGTGAAACTCTGCCTTAAAAAAAACAAAACCAAAGGCTTCTACAGTGGCCTACAGGGCCTTATGGGGGATCCTCGTGTAAGTTATGAGCCATAAATCATTCTACTTTCTCACTAGCTCAGTATTTTATTTACAAGATTCCCTCCCCCAGTTAGCATGCTGGTTCATGATCTACCATCCTTCAGTTTCTTTCCTCATATCACTTTCCAAAAGAGGACTTAAATGACCAGCATAAGTCTAGCCAATCAATGCCTCTCTGTTTGACTTACCTCTACCCTGTTTATTTTAATACCATCATCCATTGTCTTCAATAGAACATATCGAGATGTCTGCTGTCACTAAAAACTCTGAGGACAAGGATTTCTTCTGCTCACTCCCCTCTGCCTTTCCTCACTACTGGAGCCCCAGCAAATATGCTGCTTGTTTTTTTGTTTTGTTTTGTTTGAGACCAAGTCTCACTCTTTCACCCAAGCTGGAATGCAGTGGTGATATGTTGGCTAACTACAACCTCTGCCTCCTGGTTCAGGCGATTCTCCTGCCTCTCGAGTAGCTGGAATTATAGGTGGTTCCACCATACCTGGCTAATTTTTGTATTTTCATTTTATGTTATATATTTGTGAGATGGAGTCTCATTCTATTGCCCAGGCTGGAGTGCAGTGGCGCAATCTGGGCTCACTGTAACCTCCGCCTCCCAGGCTGAAGCGATTCTTGTGCCTCAGCCTCCCAAGTAGCTAGCATTAAAGGCACACACCACCATGCATGGCTAATTTTTTGTAGAGATGGGGTTTTGCCATGTTGGCCTGGCTGGTCTCGAACTCCTGACCTCAGGTGATCTACCCTCCTCGGCCTCCCAAGGTGCTGGGGCTACAGGTGTCTGTCCCCACGCCCTGCCTAATCTTTGTATTTTTAGTAGAGATGGGGTTTGACCGTGTTGGCAAGGCTGGTCTCGAACACCTGGCCTCAAGTGATCCACCCGCCTTGGCCTCCCGAAGTGTTGGGATTACACGCTTGAGCCACTACCTGCTCAGTGAATGCGTGGATTTCCATGTTCTTCCTCAACAGCCTCTGGAGCTGCTCCCTCATGCCTTTCTATTGTCAGCATCTTGGATCTGCTCTCCTCAGCAATCAGAAGCTTGAAACTCTGGACCTGGGCCAGAATCATTTGTGGAAGAGTGGCATAATTAAGCTCTTTGGGGTTCTAAGACAAAGAACTGGATCCTTGAAGATACTCAGGTATGGGTTTTTTGTTTTGTTTTGTTTTGTTTTTTGTTTTTGTTTTTTTGAGATGGAGTCGTGCTCTGTCATTCAGGCTGGAGTGCAGTGGCGCAATCTTGGCTCACCGCAACCTCTGCCTCTCAGGTTCAAGCAATTCTCCTGCCTCAGCCTCATGAGTAGCTGGGCCTAGAGGCATGCCAACATGTCCAGCTAATTTTTTTCTTTTTCTTTTTTTTTTTTTGAGACGGAGTTTTGTTCTTGTAGCCCAGGCTGGAGTGCAGTGGTGCGATCTTGGCTCACTGCAACCCCCACCTCCTGGGTTCAAGCGATTCTCCCACCTTGGCCTCCCAAGTAGCTGGAATTACAGATGCCTGCCACCATGCCTGGCTAATTTTTTAGTAGAGAGGGGTTTCACCATGTTGGCCAGGCTAGTCTTGAACTCCTGACCTCAGGTGAGCCACCTGCCTCGGCCTCCCAAAGTGGTGGGATTACAGAGGTGAGCCATTGCACCCGGCCTTTTTGGTTTTTGCTTTTTGGGATGGAGTCTCACTGTTGCCCAGGCTGGAGTGCAGTGGCGCGATCTTGACTCACTGCAGCCTCCTTCTCACAGGTTGAAGCGATTTTCCTGCCTCAACCTCCTGAGTAGCTGGGATTACAGGTACACACCACCACAGCTGGCTAATTTTTTTTTTTTTTTTTTTTTTTTAAAGACAGAGTCTCTCTCTGTCCCCCAGGCTGGAGTGCAGTGGCGCTATCTCGGCTCAGTGCAACCTCTGCCTCCTGGGTTCAAGTGATTCTCCTGCCTCAGCCTCCTGAGTAGCTAGGATTACAGTCGCTCGCCACCACACCCAGCTAATTTTTGTATTTTTAGTAGAGATGGGGTTTTGCCATGTTGGCCAGGCTGGTCTCGAGCTCCTGACCTCAGGTGATCTTCTCGCCTTGGCCTCCCAAAGTGCTGGGATTACAGGCATGAGCCACTGCACCTGGCCAATTTTTGTAGTTTTTAGTAGAGATGGGGTTTCACCATGTTGGTCAGGTTGGTCTCAAACTCCCAACCTCAGGTGATCCACCTGCCTCAGCCTCTCAAAGTGCCGGGATTACAGGCGTGAGCCACTGTGCTCGGCCCTGGGATGGCTGTTTCACATGGTGAATTTCCCATGCAGAGAAGAGTTTTTTTGGGAGTGTGTGTACTCTTTGTAGGGATCAACTTAAGGCATCTTTCTATAGCACACTCCTAGCTTAGGAGATAATTTAAAAATTAGATACTTTTCTAAAATGCTCTGTGAATTGAATATTGTCCAACTTTCCCCCAAAACACTTAGTCCTAGGCATACTGAGAGTTTAAATCATCCTGGAGTACAGACTGGAAGCTTGTGTGTATGTGTGTGCATGAGCACACACACACACACACACACACCCCTAATCATTATATCCAAAAATAGGTAGTTCCCAGAGCTGTCCTGGGTCTTAGCTTTTCAGAAGATCGTCCTACAGATGCTCCCTTAGTTGTGACCCGTGTATATCTTTTCAATGACTTATTTGTATTTTTTATTTTTTTTTGAGACGGAGTCTTTTTTTTGAGACGGAGTCTGTCTTTTTTTTTGAATCTGTCTTTTTTTTGAGACAGAGACTCCAGTCTCTGTCGCCCAGGCTGGAGTGAAGCGGTGCGATCTCGGCTCACTGCAAGCTCCACCTCCCGGGTTCACGCCATTCTCCTGCCTCAGCCTCCCGAGCAGCTGGGACTACAGGCGCCCGCCACCACGCCCGGCTAATTTTTTGTATTTTTAGTAGAGATGGGGTTTCACTATGTTGGCCAGGCTGGTCTCGAATTCCTGACCTCAGGTGATCTGCCCACCTCGGCCTCCCAAAGTGCTGGGATTACAGGCGTGAGCCACCGCGCCCGGCCTCAGTGACTTATTTTAACGTAATCTACCTTTAGTTTCTTCTTGCCTTTGTCTTTTCTTTTCTGAGACAACGTTTTGCTCTGCTGCACTGTGTGGCCGTGTTGCCGAGGTTCTCAAACTCCTGGCTTCAAACGATCCTCCTGTCTTGGCCTCACAAAGTACCCGGATTGCAGGCGTGAGCCACTGTGCACAGCCCACTTGTCTTATTCAAGAGTTATTTTAGTTGTAGAGATGATACGCATGTAAACTGCTTCATGATGCCCAGTGTTGCATTATTGGAACGCTAAGCATGTGGGAGTTATTTATATCCTGCTCAAGGTACGATTTTTCACACGTCTGCAGTTCAAATAATTGTAACCTCTGGCATAAATGGGTTAAGGTTTTAGGGGTATATCATGAAACTTGAGCTAAATAGTGTCATGCTTCTCTTGTTGGTGGGACCGAGGTCTGTAATGCCACCAAGGACTATTGGTGACAAATCTCTAGCCCCCTGTGGTCTCTTATGTCATATGTTTGGGGCGTATTTCTTTTCTCATTCCTCAGTTCCTCCTTTGGGAGGCCAAGGTGGGAGGATTGTTTGAGGCCAGGAGTTTGAGACCAGCCTGGGCAACATAGCAAGCCAGTGTCTCCACAATCACCACCCCTCATGTTCACATACACAGGCTTGCATGCTGCAGCCACGTTAGAGCCAAGTTTGCTATCATTAACCCTGGGGTTCACTCTGGCATTCTCTTAGTTCTACTGAAGGTTTGATTTGCCACTATTTTTTATTTATTTATTTGGAGGCAGAGTCTCGCTCTGTCACCCGGGCTGCAGTACAGTGGTGCGGTATTGGCTCACTGCAACATCTGCCTCCCAGGTTCAAAGCGATTCTCCTGTCTCAGCCTCCTGAGTAGCTGGTATTACAGTTGTCTGCCACCATGCCCAGCTAATTTTTGTATTTTTAGTAGAGACGGGGTTTCACTATGTTGGCCAGGCTGGTCTCGAATTCCTGACCTCAGGTGATCTGCCCGCCTCGGCCTCCCAAAGTGCTGGAATTATAGGCGTGAGTCACCGTGCACCAGCCTGATTATCTATTTTTTAAATTTATTTTTTAAAGGCATGTTTTACTCTGTTACCAGGCTGGAGTGCAGTAGGGCAATCTCTAGCTCGTTGCAACCTCCGCCTCCTGGGCTCAAGTGATCCTCTTGCCTCCGCCTCCCGAGTAGCTGGGACTATAGGCGTGCACCACCATTCCTGGCTAACTTTTTCTATTTTTGGTAGAGACAGGGTTTCACCGTGTTGCCCAGGCTGGCCTTGAACTGCGGAGCTCAAGCAATCTGCCTGCCTTGGCCTCCCAAAGTGCTGGGACTACAGGTGCGAGACACCGTGCCTGGCCATAATCTTTTTTTTCTTAGACTTATAAGGATCCCCATTGTGTGGGTCTAAATTTCTTTTTAGAAAACTTTTCTGACTGGGTGCTGTGGCTCACATCTGTAATCCCATGGCTTTGGGAGGCCGAGGTGGATGGATCACTTGAGGCCAGAAGTTCGAGACCAGCCTGGCTAACATGTCGAAACCCCATCTCTACTGTAAATACAAAACTTAGCCAAGCGTGGTGGTGCACACCTGTAATCACAGTTACTCAGGAGCCTGAGGCATGAGAATTGCTTGAACTTGGGAGCTGGAGGTTGCAGAGAGCCAAGATGGCACCACTGTACCCCAGCCTGGGCAACAGAGCAAGACCCTGTCCCCCAGAAAATCCCAAAAACGTTTCCTGCTTTGAGTGTTTGAAAACAGATATTCAGGCATCCTGGGTAGTTGAGAATGAATTTCTGGGAACATTTGTGTTCTCTGATCCCTCCAGGTTGAAGACCTATGAAACTAATTTGGAAATCAAGAAGCTGTTGGAGGAAGTGAAAGAAAAGAATCCCAAGCTGACTATTGATTGCAATGCTTCCGGGGCAACGGCACCTCCGTGCTGTGACTTTTTTTGCTGAGCAGCCTGGGATCGCTCTACGAATTACACAGGAAGCGGGATTCGGGTCTCTAAGATGTCTTATGAATGCAGGTCAGAGGGTCACATGTTAACACTAGAGTCTGTCGAGAGGTAGGATTTGACACTGGTTTTCTCACTATTTTTGGGAGATTCTGCACGAGTCACGCACCCCCTTCACATGACGCTATGTACTTTCTCACAGGGATAATAAAGTTAGAGCACTCTCGTTGCAGCTGCGTTTATTGACATGCTCAGGAGCAAACCTGCAATAAACATGGTACTCTGTGCTTTGTCTAGGAGGAAGTATTGCTAAGAAGTTCAGGGATGATTCGGTTGATTCTTCTATTTCTTTTCTTCCCTAACTCAGGCGCCATGTGGTCTACTATCTGCCAGGTGCATCTATGTGATCAGTGTGTCTTTGTGACTTATGTGATCATAACTTATGTGATCAACCCACGCATTGACAAACGGGCCAGATAGTTCATATGCTTGGCACTGTGGGCCCCGCGGTCTCTCATCAGCTCTCAGCTGTGCCTTTGGACATGGAAGCAGCGCAGGGCCTGGCTGGCACCTGCGGAGGCTTCCCAGAAACAGCTCGTGGGCCATGGGCAGCCAGCCCTGTTCTAATCTATCCTGTTACTCACAAAGCACAAGCTTACAGTCACTGTTGCCTTTAATTCAGAAGATGGCCCTGCCTCACGCTGGTTCTGCTCGGCTCCCACGGGCCGCCTCCTACTCTCTGTGTGTGTGTGTATGTGTCTCTCTCTCTCTCTGTCTCTGTGTGTCTCTCTTTGTTTCTCTGTGTCTGTCTTTTTGTCTCTCTGTCTCTGTGTCTGTTTCTGTGTGTGTGTCTCTGTGTCTGTCTGTGTTTCTCTGTGTGTGTCTCTGTCGCTGGGCGTTTCTATCTCTGTCTTTGTATGTGTCTCTCTGTTCTTTCGTTTTTTTTTTTTGTTTTTTTTTTTGAGACGGAGTTTCACTCTTGTCGCCCATGCTGGAGTGCAATGGCGTGATCTCAGCTCACTGCAACCGCGCCTCCCAGGTTCAAGTGATTCTCCTGCCTCAGCCTTCCGAGTAGCCGGAATTACAGCCCTGTGCCACCATGCCTGGCTAATTTTTTGTATTCTTACTAGAGACGGGGTTTCACAATGTTGGCCAGGCTGTTCTCGGACTCCTGACCTCAGGTGATCTACCCGCCTCAGCCTCCCAGAGTGGTGGGATTACAGGCGTGAGCCACCGAGCCCAGCCTGTCTGTCTGTTTCTGTGTGAGTCTGTGTGGCTGTCTCTGGGAGTCTCTGTGTATGTCTCTGTCTCTCTCGCCTCCCCGTTTCTCTCGGCTTCCCATTGCCATGGCAAACACAGCTTTTCCACACCCTGTATTTGGTCATTCATAGAAAATGCATAGAAGTCACTCCGCAATTTTCCTTAAGAATGAAAAGTTGTCACCATGATGTTAGCACTGGCTTCCAGGCGCTGCCAAAAGGGACTGACCCCTCTCCTCACTTGGCTCTCCACGCTTGCGGTAGGTGATGAGACTATTTTAATAAGAGCAGCCAGGCGCTGTGGCTCACACCTGTAATCCCAGCACTTTGGGAGGCCGAGGCGGGCGGATCACCTGAGGTCAGGAGTTCGAGACCAGCCTCAACATGGAGAAACCCCGTCTCTACTAAAAATACAAAATTAGCCGGGTGGGGTGGTGTATGCCTGTAATCCCAGCTACTCGGGAGGCTGAGGCAGGAGAATCGCTTGAACCCGGGAGGCGGAGTTTGCGGTGAGCTGAGATTGTGCCACTGCACTCCAGCCTGGGCAATAAGAGCAAAACTCTTGTCTCGAAAAAAAAAAAATAAGAGCATTGATATGGGGAAAGTTGTCATGGTCCCAGGCACAAAAACACGGGCATATGGCTAATGCTTTAGGTTGAAAGCTTGTATGACAAAGTTTTCTTTTCTTTTTTTTTTTTTTTTTTTTTTTGAGATGGAGTCTTGCCTCTGTCGCCCAGGCTGGAGTGCAGTGGTGCGATCTTGGCTCACTACAACCTCTGCCTCCTGGGTTCAAGTGAGTCTTCTGTCCCAGCCTCCGGAGTAGCTGAGACTAGAGGTGTGCGTCACCATGCCTGGCTAATTTTTGTATTTTTAGTAAAGACGAGGTTTCACCATGTTAGCCAGGCTGGTCTTGAACTCCTGACCTCAGGTGATCTGCCCGCCTTGGCCTCCCAAAGTGCTGGGATGACAGGCGTGAGCCACTGTGCCTGGCCTGACAAAGTTCTTTTTACTAACCCAAACCTGGAGGTTGAGTGGCTTCAGCACTGAATGATCCCATGAAGGCCCTCATTTATCTTGCTGTTGAGCATTGCTGTCTTTCGTGAGCCCTTGTCAAGATAAGTCTTCTCAAATGCTCGAGATCACTGTGGTGTTTAAGGCTACAGTCAGCTGGTAGTAATGCAGGCTGTGGGTGGTAACAGTGTTTAGCGGGATACAGCTCACACCGATGGGAAGGGTGGTAGAGACAGCGTGAATAAAGGAAGTGGTCAGGTGATGAGAGGTAGGGCTGAGTCAACATTTAGGGTTCTACATGCACATGAAGTTCCCGTGTAGAATTTGCTAAAAATAAAGACACAAAGATAGTAGGTAGAGGCTGGGAGTGAAAACATCTGGGTCGGACTCTGCTGCATATTTAATTGAAGTTTTTTTCCCCTAAATATTTTATCTACTTAAAAATTTTGATTTTGTTTAAGATAGTAGTCTTTTTTTTGGTGGGGTGGTGGGGCGGACAGAGTCTCACTTGGTTGCCTAGGCTGGAGTGCAGTGGCGTGATTTCACCATGTTGGCCAGGCTAGTCTCAAACTCCTGACCTCAGGTGAGCCACCCGCCTCGGCCTCCCAAAGTGCTGGCATGACAGGCGTGAGCCACCGTGCCCAGCCAAGATGGTGGTGGTGCTGTGTTGCCCACAGCCGGGTTGGAGTGCAATGGTGCGATCTTAGCTCACTGCAGCCTTAAACTCAAGGAATCCTCCCACCTGAGCCTCCTGAGCTGGGATTACAGGTGCATGCCAAACATGCTTGGCTAATTTTAAAATATTTTATAGAGATGGAGTCTTGCTGTATTGACCAGGCTTGTCTTGAACTGCTGGCCTCCAGTTATCCCCTTGCCTTCGCTTCCCAAAGTGCTGGGATTACACGCGTGAGCTGCCACACTGGGCTCTTACCCACTTACCAGTAATAAACACAGAACTCCTAAAGTGCTGTGATTACGGCGCCTGACCAGCCTTAATTACCTCTGAAAAGCCCTGTGTCCAAATAGAGTCACATCTGGGGTAGGGCTTGTACATGACGTTTGGTGGGACCAATTCAGTCCGTAGCAAGGACTGTCCTGTGTATCACGTGATGTATAGCAGCACCCCTGGACTTGGATGAGCCTGAGCCTGCCCCCACTGCAACTCGTGACAACCAAAAAACCTCTCGGGATGTGGCCAGATACCCCCATGGGGACAAAATCACCCCCAGTTAAGAATGGCTGGCTCAGCCATTCACAATTGCAAAGATGTGGAACCAACCGAAGTGCCCATTGAATAATGAGTGGATTGTGGGCGGCAAGGCACCCAGGCACCGAGGCAAGAGACAGAGGACACGAGCTGTTCCAGTATAATAAAATATAAAACAAGAATTGTTATACCAGATATAGATCTTAGATATGATTATATATGAGTATCATTAATCATTAGCCGGTAGCAATTACTTTTTATTCCAATATTATAATAATCCTCACTCTATAATCATAGCCTAGGAAAAACCAGGCCATACAGAGATAGGAGCTGAGGGGACATAGTGAGGTGTGACCAGAAGACAAGAGTGCGAGCCTTCTGTTATGCCCGGACAGGGCCACCAGAGGGCTCCTTGGTCTAGCGGTGACGCCAGCGTCTGGGAAGACACCCGTCACCAAGCGGATCATGGTCCAGCGGTAGCAAAAGGTGTCAATTAACAACACCCGCTACTTAGCAGACCGGGAAAGGGGCAGCGGGTGGGGGGGGGGGTCTCCCTTTCCCCGGGGGAGTTTAGAGAAGACTCTGCTCCTCCACCTCTTGTGGAGGGCCTGACATCAGTCAGGCTCGCCCGCAGTTATCCGGAGGCCTAACCGTCTCCCTGTGATGCTGTGCTTCGGTGGTCACGCTCCTAGTCCGCCTTCATGTTCCATCCTGTACACCTGGCTCTGCCTTCTAGATAGCAGTAGTAAATTAGGGAAAGTACTAATAGTCCCTGATATGCAGAAATAATGGCGTAAGCTGTCTTTCTCTCTGTCTCCTCTCCCTCTCTGCCTCGGCTGCCAGGCAGGGAAGGGCCCCCTGTCCAGTGGACACGTGACCCACGTGACCTTACCTATCATTGGAGGTGACTCACACTCTTTACCCTGCCCCTTCTGCCTTGTATCCAATAAATAACAGCGCAGCCAGACATTCGGGGCCACTACCGGTCTCCGCGCATTGGTGGTAGTGGTCCCCCGGGCCCAGCTGCCTTTTCTCTTGTCTCTTTGTCTTGTGTCTTTATTTCTACACTCTCTCGTCGCCGCACACAGGGAGAGACCCACCGACCCTGTGGGGCTGGTCCCTACAGTGGATAAAGAAAACGTGGTGTCTATGTACCATGGAATACTATTCAGCCATTAGAAGGAATGAAATAATGTCATTTCCAGCAATTTGGATGGAGCTGGAGGCCATTATTCTAACAGGAGTAGAATCCATATGTTCTCACTTTTTTTTTTTTTTTTTAAGACAGTTTTGCTCTTGTTGCCCAGGCTAGAGTGCAATGGTGTGATCTTGGCTCACCGCAACCTCCGCCTCCTGGGTTCAAGCGATTCTCCAACCTCAGCCTCCCTAGTAGCTGGGATTATAGGCACGTGCCACCACACCCAGCTATGTATTTTTCTATTTTTAGTAGAGATGGGGTTTCACCATGTTGGCCAGACTGGTCTTGAACTCCTGGCCTCAGGCGATACACCTGCCTCAGCACCCCCAAAGTGATGGGATTACAGGCGTGAGCCACCGCCACCGTGCCTGGCTCTGTATGTTCTCAGTGGGAGCTAAGCTGTTGGTACACAAAGGCAGAGTGATGTAATGGGCTTCAGAGTCTCAGAAGGGGGAGGGCAGAAGGGAGGCCACAGATAAAAAACTACACATTAGGCCAGTGTGGTCGCTCACGCCTGTAATCTCATCACTTTGGGAGACCCAGGCGGGCCGATCACTTGAGGCCAGGAGTTCGAGACCATCCTGACCAAGATGGTGAAACCCTGTCTTTACTTACTAAAAGTACAAAAAATTAGCCAGGCATGGTAGTGGGTGTCTGTAATGCCAGCACTTTGGGAGGCCAAGGTGGGAGAATCGCTTGAACCCGGGAGGCGGAGGTTGTTGCAGTGAGCTGAGGCCACGACACTGCACTCCAGCCTGGGTAACAGAGCGAGACTTGGTCTCTAAATAAATAAAATAAAGGGCTCAGACTCTATCTCAAAAAATAAATGAATAAGGCCGGGTGCGGTGGCTTACACCTGTAATCCCAGCACTTTGAGAGGCCGAGGCGGGAGGATCACGAGGTCAGATCGAGACCATCCTGGCTAACATGGTGAAACCCCGTCTCTACTAAAAATACAAAAAATTAGCCGGGCTAGGTGGCGGGCGCCTGTAGTCCCAGGAGAATGGTGTGATCCCGGGAGGCGGAGCTTGCAGTGAGCAGAGATCGCGCCACTGCAGTCCAGCCTGGGCGACAGAGCAAGACTCTGTCTCAAGAAAAATAAATGAATAAAAACAATAAGAAAGAAAAATAGCCACGTCTTACGTAGGCTGAGACTGGAGAGTTTCCGTGGACTCGTAACCCTGCCTTTGTCCCTGCACTGAAGGGTGTAAGGTGGTTGCTTTCTGCATGAGCCAGTGTTTCTCAGCCTTGGTGCTGCTGCCATCTGGGGCTGCCCTGGGCATTGTAGGAAGCTGAGCAGCACCCCTGGACCCTACCTACCAGATGCCAGTAGAACCCCTCCCCAAGTCATGACAATTAAAAATTACCATGGGCATTGCCAAATGTCCCCTGGAGTGGAGAGCAAAATCACCCAGCAGAGAACTGCTAGGCTAGAGAGGTGCAGGATCCTAGGCTGGGTGCGGGGGCCTGTAATCCTCGCACTTTGGGAGGCCAAGGTGGGCGGATCACATGAGGTCGGGAGTTCAAGACCAACCTGGCTAACATGGTAAAACCCCCATCTCCACTAAAAATACAAAAATTAGCCAGGCGTGGCGGCACATGCCTGTAGTCCCAGCTCCTTGGGGGGCTGAGGCAGGAGAATCGCTAGACCCCAGCAGGCAGAGGTTGCAGTGAGCCAAGATGGCACCACTGCATTCCATCCTGGGCGACAGAGCAAGACTGTAGTTTTTTTGTTTTTGTTTTTGTTTTTTTTTGAGGAGTCACAGTCTGTCACTCAGGCTGGAGTGCAGTGGCGCAATCTCGACTCACTGCAACCTCTGCCTCCCGGGTTTGAACGATTCTCCTGCCTCAGCCTCCCGAGTAGCTGGGATTGGCTCTGGTGGTGGAGGTGCCTGCAAACCTGTTGGTACTGTAACCGTCAGAAAACGAGTAGCAAGAAGTGTCCGAGAAAGCCAGAGAAGTGAGTCCTTCGAGGAGGAAGTGGTCAACGTGTCAAATACAACTGTGGGGGAGCAATAATGAGAAGGGCTGAAAAGGGTCACTGCATGTTCCAGGAAGGAAGCTCATTAGTGTTGGTCACACAGACAGCTTCAGAGGAAGTGTGGGGAGAGAAGCCAGTTTCTAGCGGGTGGGGAGCACAGGTGAGAAGTCAGAACAAAGGCCACCAGTGTGGGTTATGTCTTAGGGAGCGTGGGTCTTCTGGCTGGGCGCGGTGGCTCAGTAATCCCAGCGACTCTGGAGGCTGAGGCAGGAGAATCGCTTGAACCCGGAAAGCGGAGGTTGCAGTGATCCGAGATTGCAGCACTGCACTCCAGCCTGGGTGTGCAGAGCGAGACTCAAAAAAAAAAAAAAAAAAAAAAAAATAGAACAGTTGATCTCCTAGAAGTGAGAGTAGGTGGAGGTTATCAGGGGCTGGGGGTGGTAGGAGAGGAAGATGTTGGTCAAAAAGCACAAGTAGCTGGGTGTGGTGGCTCACGTCTGTAATCCCAGCACTTTGGGAGGCCAAGGCGGGTGGATCACCTGAGACCAGGAGTTTGAGACCAACATGGAGAAACCCCGTCTCTACTAAAAATACAAAAATTAGCCGGGCGTGGTGGCACGCACTTGTAGTCCCAGCTACTCGGGAGGCTGAGGCAGGAGAATCGCTTGAACCCGGGAGGCGGAGGTTGCAGAGTCAAGATCGCGCCACTGCACTCCAGCCTGGGTGACAGAGCAGGACTTCGTCTCAAAAAAAAAAAAAAAAAAAAAGCACAATATTCAGTTATAAGATGAGTTAGTTCTGGGGGTCTGATATATGGGATGGCGATTATGGTTAACACAAGCAGCTTTTAAATGTCTTTACCCCTGCTCCCCGTTACCAGCCAAAGCTGTGAAGTTCCAGGCCCTTGGTGTTTCGAACAAAGAATTGGGTGTGATACACACACATAGCAAAGCGGCATAAGTTTATTAAGCATAGGATTACACTCTTGGAGAGGGGAGAGCAGGCGGACCTCTGCGAAATGAGATCGGCATCAGCTCGCTGTACTTTGGGTCTTTTTTTTTTTTTTTCTTATTAGGAATATACAACCATTTATTCACTGTTCACTAGTATTTACAATAAAGTGAACAAAATACAGTTCAATAACATTCAGATTACCACAAAGTTGTGTTTCCTGGCTTTTACTGAACCAGTAAAGCAGATACTGAAAAGACTGAGCCTATGTGGTTTTTTTTTTTTTTTTTTTGAGATGGAGTCTCGCTCTGTCGCCCAGGCTGGAGTGCAGTGGCACGATTTTGGCTCACCGCAACCTCCGCCTCCCAGGTTCAAGCGATTCTCCTGCCTCAGCCTTCTGAGTAGCTAGGATTACAGGTGCCTACATGTAAGGAATGAGTTGGGGTAAAGAAAAAATACGCGAGTCAGCAGTTTATTTATTTTGAGAGGGAGTCTCGCTCTGTTACCAGGCTGGAGTGCAGTGGTGCAATCTCGGCTTACCACAACCTCTGCCTCCCGGGTTCAAGTGATTCTGCTGCCTCAGCCTCCCGAGTAGCTGAGATTACGGGTGCAAGCCACTGCGCCTGGCTAATATTTTGTATTTTTTAGTAGAGATGGGGTTTTACCGTGTTGGCCAGGCTGCTATTTAATGGAAAAATCAGATTTAGAGAATAAATTTGACCGGCATGAGGCACCAGAATAATGGGAGGGCGTGAGGACCCATGCGATGAGTATATAAATGGGTTGATAAGTAGAAGTTCTCAGGGAGGAAAGCGATGGTGGTGTCCAGACAGCATTTCAAGACCCCTAGTGAGAAGTCTCAAGTTGCAGGCTGTGCCACAGCCCCGTATATACATTCACTCATTTGATATATATTTCCCGAGAACCCCGTTATAGTTGCGGGAGCTGTGAATGCAGCCACTAAATCTGACATAGATCAATTCACACGAGTTCACGGTAGAGGCAGGAAAATGGACATGCATGCCGAATCAGGGTTCAAGTGCTGTTACAGGGAATTAACAGGTGCTTTGGGATGAGGAAAGTGTTGTCTTGGCTGGGCGCAGTGGCTCACGCCTGTAATCCTAGCACTTTGAGAGGCCAAGGCGGGGGGATCACCTGAACTCAGGAGTTTGAGACCACCCAGGGCAACATGATGAAACCCTACCTCTACTAAAGATGCAAAAAAAATTAACCGGGTGTGGTGGCGCGCGCCTCTAGTCCCAGCTACTTGGGAGGCTGAGGAAGGAGAATCGCTTGAGCCCCAGAGGCGAAGGTTGCAGTGAGCTGAGATTGTGCCACTGCACGCCAGCTTGGGCTACAGAGTGAGACTGTCTCAAAAAAAAAAAAAAAAGTGCTATCTTTGTGAAGTCGGAGTTGTGGAAACTCTTGGAGGAAATGATATCTCTGCAGAGCCCTGAAGAACAAGGCAAGGTGTGGATAAAGAAGCAAAGATGGTGGCCGGGTACGGTGACTCACACCTGTAATTCCAGCACTTTGGGAGGCCGAGGCTGGTGGATCACCTGAGGTCAGGAGTTCAAGACCAGTCTGGCCAACATTGTGAAACCCCATTTCTACTAAAAATACAAAAATTAGCCGGGCGTGGTGGTGCATGCCTATAATCCCAGCTATTCAGGAGGCTGAGGCAGGAGAATCATTTGAACCCTGGAGGTGGAGGTGGCAGTGAGCCAAGATTGCACCACTGCATTCCAGCCTGGGTGACAAAAGTGAAACTCGGGGGAAGGGATAGCATTAGGAGATATACCTAATGTTAAATGACGAGTTAGTGGGTGCAGCACACCAACATGGCACATGTATACATATGTAACTAACCTGCACGTTGTGCACATGTACCCTAAAACTTACATTAAAAAAAAAAAAAGTGAAATTCTGTCCCAACAAAACAAACAAAAAAAAAGAAAAAAAAAAAAAAGGAAGAGAAGATGGAATAATTCTGTGGTTAGAAGGAATTGGGGTATGGTTGGGATGCAGCCAGGAGTCACTTATTTTTTTTTTTTCTTTTTTTTTTTGAGACAGAATCTTGCTCTGTCACGTAGGCTGGAGTGCAGTGGTGCGATCTTGGCTCCCTGCAGCCTCCGCCTCCCGGGTTCAAGCTATTCTCCTGCCTCAGCCTCCTGAGTAGCTGGGATTACAAGCACACGCCACCATACCTGGCTAATTTTTATATTTTTAGTAGAGATGTGGTTTCACCATGTTGGCCAGGCTGCTCTCGAACTCCTGACCTCAGGTGATCCTCCCACCTTGGCCTCCCAAAGTGCTGGGATTACAGGCATGAGCCACCGTGCCTGGCCGAGTTTTTGTATTTTTAGTAGAGATGGGGTTTCATCATGTTGGCCAGGCTGGTCTCGAACTCCTGACCTCAGGTGATCTGCCCGCCTCAGCCTCCCAAAGTGTTGGGATTACAGGTGTGAGCCACCGTGCCTGGCAGGATTCACTTATAAAGCTGCTTCTCTACAACTGGTTGTTGCCACAATGCCTCCTGAACCATTTGATACAGACCTATTCTATATTGGTTATTAACTATTTTGAATGGCTTCCTGCAGAGAAAGGAAAGAAAAAAAGACCAAAGTAGGAAAAAAATATTTCCATGGCCATCCTGTTAAAGAAGGAGAGATCTTTTCAGAAAAGACCAGAGTGGTTAAAAGTATGGTTTGCAGTAAGTGGTACAAAAATAGTTAGAGCCTAGAAGAGACCATAGGATTTGTCTACAGAAGAAATTCAGTGGCTGGGCGCAGCGGCTTATGCCTGTAATCCCAGCCCTTTGGGAGGCCAAGGCGGGGAGATCACTTGAGGTCAGGAGTTCGAGACCAGCCAACAGGGAGAAACCCCGTCTCCACTAAAAATACAAAATTAGCTGGGGTGGTGGCACATGCCTGTAATCCCAGCTACTCAGGAGGCTGAGGCAGGAGAATCACTTGAACCCGAGGGATGGAGAGCTAGAGGTTGCAGTGAGCCAAGATCGCGCCATTGCACTCCAGCCTGGGCAACAAGAGAAAACTCTGTCTCAAAAAAAAAAAAAAAGAAATTTAGCATGTAGTTCTCCCACCCTCTGCATCGTCCGGGATGCTCTGACAAATGGAATGCCAGTGTCCCTCTTTCCCTGCAGTGACTCCCTCCTCCGTGGGTCCAACACAGAGCTCACGCCGCCCAGGCTCAACACCAGCTTTCAGATCCACCCATGGCCACTGTGTCTCATGGTCATTCTTCAAAGAGTCTGTGTGTTCAGCCTTCTCCTGCCTTCCCAAGTGGAAGCTCTGCTGGCTCGCTCTCTAGTCCTCTTCCTGCTGAGCCAGTCTTCAACCAGGAACCACACTAGAGCCACCAGGACTAGAAAGGCCAGGCCCATCCGAAGGAGATTCTGGGCAGTGTGATCCCAGAGGGCATGGTCTGTAGGCAGGAGAACAGGGTGATCGCTGACAGGGATGTAAGGACACCCTCTTTTTTTTTTTTTTTTTTTTTTTTTTTTTTTTTTTTTTTGAGACAGAGCCTCAGTCTTGTCGCCCAGGCTGGAGTGCAATGGCACGATCTCGGCTCACTGCAACCTCCACTTCCTGGGTTCAAGCTATTCTCCTGTCTCAGCCTCCCAAGTAGCTGGGACTACAGGCACACGCCACCACGCCTGGCTAATTTTTTTGTATTTTTAGTAGAGATGGGATTTCGCCATGTTGGCCAGACTGGTCTTGAACTCCCGACCTCAGATGATCTGCCCGCCTCGGCCTCCCAAAGGGCTGAGATTACAGGTGTGAGCTACTGCGCCTGGCCAAGGACACCCTCTTGTTCCCATTTAGATTCCCTTCCTAGGTCTACTCTATGCCCAGCCCCTTCCTTCAGAGCCTATGGCCCCAGCTGTCTACTTACCTTTCTGGAGTCCCGTCTCTGTGGTTAAAAGGTAGGTGCCCCAAGTGTCTGCTGATGATAAGGGAAGTGAAGAAAAGAGGATGGTTTTGACCTCCTCCACCCCAGCACTCCTTCCCTTGGGTCTACCCCATGACGTTCTGCAGCTTTACAAGGTCCCACCTCACCCTGCGGGTCCCAGGAGCTTCATCCAGCAGGTAAAGTGGAAGGGTCCACAGATGGACGAACCTGACGAGGAATTCCATTCTAGCACTTGTGAGCATGTGTCTTTGCACCAGTCATGTCTTCTATTTTTTTTTTTTTTGAGATAGAGTCTCACTGTGTTCCAGCCTCTGGAGTAGCTGGGACTACAGGCACACACCACATACCCAGGTAATTTTTTTCATATTTTTAGTAGAAACGGGGTTTTGCCATGTTGGCCAGGCTGGTCTTGAACTCCCAACCTCAGATGACCTGCCTGCTTCGGCCTCCCAAAGGGCTGGGATGACAGGCCTCTGAGGCTGGAGTACAGTGGTGTGATCTCAGCTCACTGCAACCTCCGCCTCCCGAGTTCAAGCAATCCTCTTGCTTCAGCCCCGAGTAGCTGTAATTACTGGCGTGCGCCACCACACCCAACTCATGTTTGTATTTTTAGTAGAGATGGGGTTTCACTGTGTTGGCCAGGCTGGTCTTGAACTCCTGACCTCAAGTGATCCAGCCGCCCCTGCCTTCCAAAGTGCTGGGATTACATGCGGGAGCCACCCGGCCCAGCCCGTCTTCTATTTAAGCCTCATTTTCCTCATTAAGTCATCATTACCTCTTTCTCCTCACACATACACACATAGTGAAATTCAAAGTCTCACTATTTTTTTTTCTTTTTCTTTTTCTTTTTTTTTTTTTTTGAGACGGAGTCTCACTCTGTCGCTCAGGCTGGAGTGCAGTGGCGCGATCTCAGCTCACTGCAAGCTCCGTCTCCCGGGTTCACGCCATTCTCCTGCCTCAGCCTCTTGTGTAGCTGGGACTACAGGCGCCCGCCACCACGCCCGGATAATTTTTGTATTTTTTTTTAGTAGAGACAGGGTTTCACCGTGTTAGCCAGGATGGTCTTGATCTCCTGACCTCATGACCCACCTGCCTCGGTTTCCCAAAGTGCTGGGATTACAGGCGTGAGCCACCGCGCCGGGCCTCACTCCTGTAATCCTAGCCGTGCGCCCCAGGCCCATCCCACCGTCATCTTCCAAACATCATTTTCAACCCTCCTGGCCTCATAGTTATTATTGTATTACCCCAGTTATCTTCCTGCCCCAGGGCACAGGCAGATGCCATTTCATTCTCTCCAGAGCCTCCTTTCTCCTGACAGCCACATGATTAACTCAAGTCTGAACGCATTTGCTCAGATGCCTTCTTTCTCTGTGAGGTCCATCTGGACAAACCTATTTAATATTGCTAGCTGCCATTTCAATCACTGTAAGTCTGTTCTACTTTGTCTTTTCCTTCCATAGCATCATTCCCTCCTGTGTGCTATCCTGACGTTGACCGATGGTGTGTCTCCTCCTGCTAGAATCTAAGTGCTGCAGAGTCAAGATATCTGCCTGGCTGACTGTTACAGTGTAGTTCACTGTGTATACTATGCACTTGATGAATATATATATATAATAGTTTTGTTTTTGTTTTTCTGTGAGATGGAGTCTCGCTGTGTCGTGCAGTGGAGTGGAATGCAGTGGCGCGATCTCAGCTCACTGCAACCTCTGCATCCCAGGTTCAACAATTCTCCTGCCTCAGCCTCCTGAGTAGCTGGGATTACAGGCGAGCACCACCAGGCCCGGCTAATTTTTGTATTTTTAGTAGAGATGGGGTTTCACCATGTTGGTCAGGCTGGTCTCGAATTCCTGACCTTGTGATCCAACCACCTTGGCCTCCCGAAGTGTTGGGATTACAGGTGTGAGCCATGATGCCCAGCCTAAGTTTTGTATTTTTAGTAGAGACAGGGTTTCGCCATGTTGGCCAGGCTGGTCTCAAACTCCTGACCTCAAATGATGCACCATCTCGGCCTCCCAAAGTGCTGGGATTACAGGCGTGAGCCACCACGCCTGGCCTCGATGAATATTTTGAATGAATGCCACGTTTTTAGTGTCACTGGGAGGCTCTGATTGCTCGTCTGAGCTTAGAAGGACCAGTTACTCACCAGGAAAGGTGGGGTCTTCAGGTGCAAGGCTGGTGTTCTCAATGTCGCCTGGAAAAGGAGATAAAGAAAAAAAAGTAAGGGTTTTTGGTTTCCTCCGGTCTTGCCATTCTTTTTTTTTTTTTTTTTTTTTTTGAGATGGAGTCTTGCTCTGTCGCCCAGGTTGCAGTGCGGTGGTATGATCTCGGTTCACTACAACCCCCGCCTCCCGGGTTCAAGCGATTCTCCTGCCTCAGCCTCCTGAGTAGCTGGGACTACAGGTGTCCGCCACTGCGTCTGGCTAATTTCTGTATTTTTAGTAGAGACGGGGTTTCACCGTCTTGGCCAGGCTGGTCTCGAACTCCTGACCTTGTGATCCACCCGCCTTACCATTCCTTTCTCTGCTCCCTCCTCCTTCCTGCTTCTGGTGTTCTTCCTCACATGACCAACCAGGCACCCAGGAAGTGGACGTCCCTTGGACACCCTCCCCATCACTCTCTGGGGATCCCTCAGGGCTCCAGGTAGGACATGGCGGCGAAGGGTGTGGGGAATTGAGCATTTCCTCACCTGTGACCAGGAGCTTCACTGGCTCACTGGGGAAAGACCAGGCATGGTTGTTATAGGAGCCAAAACATCGGTATGTCCCTCGGTGGGCTGTGGTCACAGGGCCCAGGGGGAACTCCGCCTGGACCTTCCCGTATCCGCGCTGTACGTGGCTGGATCTTCCCTCCTTGAGCAGTAAGAACATGCTTGTTGCAGTGTCTAGACGGCAGTAGAAGGTCACCTTCTCTCCCGAGATCACTTCGGGTCCAGGATGAACCGAGAGGGTGGGTGTGTCATACATTTCTATGAGAGAAGGTGGGGCCACCACACCAGAAACTCAGTGATGAGCAGCCAGCTATTTTTTTTTTTCTTTCTTTAGAGATGGAGTCTCTCTCTGTCGCCCAGGCTGGAGTGCAGTGACACGATCTTGGCTCACTGCAACCTCTGCCTCCCGGGTTCAAGCGTTTCTCCTGCCTCACCCTCCCAAGTAGCTGGGACTACAGGGGCCTGCCACCATGCCTGGCAGCCAGCTTTTTTTTTTTTTTTAATTATTATTTTGGTCAAATACACACAATAGAAGATTTACCGTCTAAAACCATTTTTAAAAATGATACAGGGTCTTGCTCTGTTTCCCAGGCTGGAGCGCCGTGGCACTATCTTTGCTTACTGAAGACTCGACCTCCTGGGTCAGGAGTTTGAGACCAGCCTGGTCAACATGGTGAAACCCCGTCTCTACTAAAAATGCAAAAATTAGCCGGGTGTGGTGGCACATGCCTGTAATCTCAACTACTTGGGAGGCTGAGGCAGGAGAATTGAGGCTGAGGCAGAGGTTGCAGTGAGCTGAGATTGTACCACTGCACTGCAGCGAGACTGTCTCAAAAAAAAAAAAAAAAAGCCCCGGCCAGCCGCCCCGTCCGGGAGGTTGGGGGGCAGCCCCCGCCCGGCCACTGCCCCGTCTGGGAGGTGGGGGGGCGCCTCTGCCCGGCCGCCCCGTCTGGGAAGTGAGGAGCCCCTCTGCCCGGCCGCCACCCCGTCTGGGAGGTGTACCCAACAGCTCATTGAGAATGGGCCATGATGACGATGGCGGTTTTGTCGAATAGAAAAAGGGGAAATGTGGGGAAAAGAAAGAGAGATCAGATTGTTACTGTGTCTGTGTAGAAAGAAGTAGACATAGGAGACTCCATTTTGTTCTGTACTAAGACAAATTCTTCTGCCTTGGGATGCTGTTAATCTATGACCTTACCCCCAACCCCGTGCTCTCTGAAACATGTGCTATGTCCACTCAGGGTTAAATGGATTAAGGGCGGTGCAAGATGTGCTTTGTTAAACAGATGCTTGAAGGCAGCATGCTCCTTAAGAGTCATCACCACTCCCTAATCTCAAGTACCCAGGGACACAAACACTGCGGAAGGCCGCAGGGACCTCTGCCTAGGAAAGCCAGAGACCTTTGTTCACATGTTTATCTGCTGACCTTCTCTCCACTATTGTCCTATGACCCTGCCAAATCCCCCTCTCCGAGAAACACCCAAGAATGATCAATAAATACTAAAAAAATTAAAAAAAAAAGAATAAATGAGTAGCTGTGTTCCCCTGCCAGAACCTCCAAACAAGGTCCAAAGACCCTGAGCAAATGAAAAGGCACAGACAAAAAATATATATATTTCAACACAAGTATATGACACAGAATATAGAAATAACTTTTCCTAATCAATCAAAATATAAGCAACCCAATTTAAAAATAGGCAAAAGATTTAAATAGACATTTCACAAAAGAAGATATTTGAATGGACATGAAATACTGTTGTGAGCTGCATAATGACATTTTGGCCAACAATGTACCACATATATGATGGTGGTCCCATAAGATTATAATGAAACTGAAAAATTCCTATTGCCTGATGACATCATAGCCTTCCTAGCACAAAGTATTGCTCATGTGTTTTTGGTGTTGCTGGTATAAACAAACCTAATTGTATAGCACATACAATTATGTATGTATATGTAACTATGTATAATACTTGATAATAATAATAAACAACCATATTGTTAAAAAAAAAAAAAGCTAATTTTTTTTTTTTTTTTTAGAAAACCACCACCTGGCTGGGTGTGATGGCTCACACCTGTAATCCCAGCACTTTGGGAGGGTGAGGCGGGCGGATCATCTGAGGTCAGGAGTTCGACACCACCCTGGCCAACATGGTGAAACCCCATCTCTACTAAAAATACAAAATGTGGCGTAGTGGTGGGTGCCTGTGATCCCAGCTACTTGGGAAGCTGAGGCTGGAGAATCACTTGAACCCAGGAGGTGGAGGTTGCAGTGACTGGAGATTGCACCACTGCACTCCAGCCTGGGTGACAAGAGCGAAACTCCGTCTCAAAACAGATAAAAAAAAAAAAAACCCACCACCTGTGATGGGTGAGGGAAGCAAAGTGTAAGCCACTGCGCCTAGCCCACAGGCATTGTTTTTGAGGACATTCCTCAGTCATACCCCTGCATACAAATATCTATCTCAGAATCTGTGTCATGGAGAAACTGACTGAGGACACATCTGCTCCTAGGACGTAGAGACACGGTCTGCAGACAACCCCTTGTAGGCAAGGATTGTGATGGGGATCACCCCTCCTTCCAGCCTCCTACCGAGACAAGCAGTGTCTGAGTGGGGCTTGGAAGAGTTCATAGATGATGCTGCATCCCGGATGCAGACTGAGATCACTCTCCAGTTAGAGAACCGGACAGTTACCTGTTACCACCAGATCCAGCAAGTTGCTGGGCTCTGACCAGAGCTCCCCAACCCGATAGATGCAGCTGTATTGCCCTGCCATGCGGGAGTTCATGTCCGGGATGTAGAATTTGACTTTGTTAATCCGCTCAGGGGGTTTTGGTCTGTCCACGGCAAAAAGGCTTCCTTCAAAGTGCAGCTGGTATTCAACAGCCCCATAATTTCCCTGGCAACAGATGGTCACTTGCTTTTCCTTTGGAACCATGAAATGGGGCTCGGCCCAGATGAACGGTTTTGGGAGAGTCTCTGGAAGGGAATCAGAGGCTGGAGTTCCAGCGGAGCCCCCTCCCCCCAACCTTAGGCTCCACCCAGCTGCTGGCCCCAAGCTCTCCTGGGAAGCCAGCACCCTGTCCCCTCTCCCCAGCCGTGCTTGGGTGGAAGGAGCTTGGCCTGAACCCGGAAGAGTGACCCTGGGCTTTGAAGGAAGGACTCACGCTGCTGGGCGCTGATCCTCTGACTCAGACACAGCCCTGGAAGACGGGAGTAATGAGACCTGTTGCCTCCCAGGCACACCGTGATCCCATTCCCCTTCCACGCCAGAACTCACCGACGCAGAGCAGGGCAGGGAGTGTGGAAGACATCGCTCAGATTCTGCCGGCCTAGTGCTGAGCAGTGGGGACTGAGCCGGGCGGGCCAGGGAGATAGATACACAGGAAGTGGTGGGTGAGCACCAGCGCCCATCACCAGAGCGCTTTCACGTTGACTGCTTTCATCAGAACGTTCACAACTCCCCTCCGCCTCTGACCATGAGCTTACAGAAAGGCCGTGGTCCCTCTGACACATCTGTGGTCTAGCCAGCAACTCTGACAATTGTCTGCTCAGCCCAAAATGCATTTCTGGGTCAACTTCTCAATTCTGCAATGTGGAGGTCGTACCCAGAGCTGACTGTGGGAAGTTGTGCCCAATCATGCCCAGAGGAAACCCCCTGAGAATCGTATAAAAACATAGGGAGTTTCACAGTGAGATACTGGAACAGGAATTAAAAGAAATTACAGAATGTGTAAACAAAAACTCAGTTGTATTTAAGAAAACCCAGTTCCCCCCGAGGAAGAGAAAGAGGTGGAGTCCTTTAAACATGAACTGCCTGTTTTTCTGTCTGTGGCTAGTGAGCCTTATCTCTCCCTTTCCCAGGCATTGTGAAGACCCTGTTTCTCTTGCCGTGCGGCTGCAAGATCACTAGACAGGATAACCTCAAGTCGTAAAACATATTTTTCTTGAAAAGTAAGGAATAATGTGATGCATGTCTCAATTGAATAACTGCCTTTGTTTCTTGCTTCTGTAATATGCTTCCCCCTGCACAGATCTCCCCCAACCCCACAAAATGCTTAAAAGGTAACCGGACTCTCTGTTCGAGCCTCAGTCTTTTTGGATGTTAATCTGACTGGGGCCGGTGCACCTAAATAATAATAATAATAATAAATCCTCCTCAACCCCTCGGTCTCTCTGATTCCTAAATTATCCCTCAACAATACCATCTCACACCAGTCAGAATGGCCATTACTGAAAAGCCAGAAATTAACAGATGCTGGTGAGATTGTGGAGCAAAGGGGACACTTATACACTGTTGGTGGGTGTAAATTAGTTCAGCCACTGTGGAAAGCAGTTTGGTTTGGAGATATTTCAGAGAACTACAAACAGAGTTACCATTCAGCCCAGCAATCCCATCGCTGGGTATATAGCCAAAGGAAAATAAATCATTCTACCAAAAAGACACATGCACTTGTATGTTCATTGCAGCAGGATTCACAATAGTGAAGACATGGAATCCACCCAGGTCCCATCAGAGGTGGACTGGATAAAGACAATGTGATATGTATACACCACAGAACGCTATACAGCCTTGAAAAATCACAAGATTATGTCCTTTGCAGCAACATGGATGCAGCTAGAGGCCATTATCCTAAGCGAGTTAACACAGAAACAGAAAACCAAATACTGGCCAGACACGGTGGCTCACGCCTGTCATCCCAGCACTTTGGGAGGCTGAGGCAGGTGGATCACCTTAGGTCGGGAGTTCGAGACCAGCCTGACCAACATGCAGAAACCCTGTCTCTACTAAAAATTCAAAATTAGCCGGGTGTGGTGGCACATGCCTGTAGTCCCAACTACTCGGGAGGCTGAGGCAGGAGAATTGCTTGAACCTGGAAGGTGAAGGTTGCAGTGAGCCGAGATGGTGCCATTGTACTCCAGCCTGGGCAACAAGAGTGAAACTCCATCTCAAAAAAAAAAAAAAAAAAGAAAAGAAAACCAAATACCACATGTTCTCACTTATAAGTGAGAGCGCTAAACATTGGGTAAGGAGGGGAGCAAGGCTTGAAAATCTACCTATTTGGTGACTAGATCATTAATGCAAGCCTCAGCATCATGCAATATACTCATAAAAAACCTGCACATGTATCTGCTGAATCTAAAAAGATAAAAATAGGGGTTTTGACGTTGGCTTCTCTGTGTACAGTATACATATGCTTGGATAAGTTAATTGGTTTCATCAGAATGGAATGATAACACTAACTTCTTCAAAGATAGTGTTATAATGTTTCAATAAAATAAAAGTGAAAAGAAAAGCTTTTCATTTAAAGAACTTAATAAGAAAAGAAACATTTCTTTTCTTTTTCTTTTTCTTTCTTTTTTTTTTTTTTTTGAGACAGAGTCTTGCTCTGTTGCCCAGGCTGTGGTGCAGTGGTGTGATCTCAGCTCACTGCAACCTCTGCCTTGTGGGTTCAAGCAATTCTCCTGCCTCAGCCACCTGAGTAGCTGGGACTACAGACACCCAACACCACGCCCAGCTCATTTTTGTACTTTTAGTAGAGACCGGTTTTTACCACGTTGGCCAGGATGGTCTCCAACTCCTCACCTCAAGTGAATCTTCCTGCCTCGGCCTCTCAAAGTGCTGGGATTACAGGTGTGAGCCACCACACCCAGCCAAGAAACATTTCTTTTAAGTAAGTAACTAACTCTCCACTTAATAAAAAAAAATTCTATGCAGAAGTTGTTAAGATCTACAGTAAGAAAAAAGAAATTCATGCATTTTATATATACACACATATATACATATATACCTTTTATATATATACACATATATACATTTATACATATATGTATACATATATACATATATGTGTATATATACTGCATAGTACCGTACATGTATATATACACATGCATATATACACATACATGTATATGCGTATATATACACATATATGTATATATACACACATGCATACATGCATATATATGTATACACACATGTATGCGTGTATACATACATATATGTATATACATACATGTATGCGTGTATACATACATATATGTATATACATACATATATGCGTGTATACATACATGTATGCGTGTATACATACATATACATATATGTATATACATACATGTATATATACATGTATGTATATATGCATATATGTATATACATACATGCATATATACATGTATGTATACATATACGTATATGTGTATATATGTATATACATATATATATACATGTAAGGTACTATGTAGTTTTCAGCATCCACTGGGGCCTTGGAATATATCCTGGTGGATACATGTGACTACTGTACAAGACTAGTTGTATCTTCTTGAGGCAAACAAATGTGCTAATTCTTTTTTTTTTCTCTTTAAGACGGAATCTCACTCTGTCCCTCAAGCTGGGGTGCAGTGGTGCAATCTCAGCTCACTGCAACCTTCACCTCCTGGGTTCAAGCAATTCTCCTGTTCTAGCCTCCCAAGTAGCTGGGATTACAGGCGTGTGCCACCACACTCGACTAATTTTTGTATTTTTAGTAGAGACAGGGTTTCCCCATGTTGGCCAGGCTAGTCTCGAACTCTTGACCTCAAGTGATCAGCCCACTTTAGCCTCCCAAAGTGCTGGGATTACAGGCGTGAGCCACCACACCCAGCCCGCCTCCTTCTTATTTACTGAAGATTCAGTACTCGGTGCTGGCGTTTCCCCTTACACAGCTGTCATAACTCTGGGTGTTTTCTTTATCCTTCCCCCTACGGAGCGCTTGGATGCCCTCTATGGAGGAGACTTATGTAGGCTGGATCCTCAGACCTCAGCCACCCTCTCAGCCATAACATAGTTACCTTCACCAAAGAAATATAAGAATATTGTCTTTTATTATTTTGAGCTTTTAATTTTGACATAATTCCAGACTTGCAAAAATAGTTTAAAGAATTTCTGGCCAGGTGCAGTGGCTCACACCTGTAATCCCAGCACTTTGGGAGGCCGAGGTGGGTGGATTGCTTGAGACGAGCCTGGGGGAAAAAAAAATGCAAAAATTAGCCAGGTGTGGTGCTGTGCGCCTATAGTCCCAGCTACTTGGGAGGCTGAGGTGAGAGGGTCATCTGAGCCCAGGGAGGTAGAAGCTGCAGTGAGCCATGATCGTGCCACTGCACTCTAGCCTGGGTGACAGAGTGTTACCCTGTCTATAAAAAAAAAAAAAATCTGTAATTTCTTCATCCAGATTTCCCCAAAGTTAGCATTTTACCACATTTGCTTCATCATTCAGCCTCTCTCCCTCTCCCTCTCTCCCCGAAGAAAGTGTGTCTAATTTGCATATGATGCCCTAAACCTCTAATCACTTCAGGTTATATTTCCCAAAACCAAGGACATTCTGTTATTAATGTTCAAGGTCAAGAAATAGCACTGATATGACACTATTGTCTGATCTATCCACTTTATTCAAATTTCACCACTTGTTTTACCAGTGACATATATTTGGTTTAGGATTTAATCCAAGATTACACAATTTATTTAATTGTCATGTCTCTCTTATTTGGAGATGGAATCTTGCTCTGTAGCCCAGGCTGGAGTGCAATGGTGTGATCTCAGCTCACTGCAACCTCCGCCTCCTGGGTTCAAGCAATTCTCCTGCCTCAGCTTCCTGAGTAGCTGGGATTAGAGGCACCCACAACCACGCCCAGCTAATTTTTGTATTTCTAGTAGAGATGGGGTTTCGTCAAGTTGGCCAGGCTGGTTTCGAACTCCTGAACTCAACTGATCCACCTGCCTCAGCCTCCCAAAGTGCTGGGATTAGAGGCATGAGCCACCACGCCCAGCCTCCTTTAAAAAATAAAACTATAGACTTTATTCTGATTTCACCAGTTTTTCCACTAGCATCCTTTCTTCGCTCCAGGAGCTCCAGTGATCCGCCTGCCTCAGCCTCCCACCTGCCTCGGCCTCCCAAGGTATTGGGATTACAGGTGTGAGCCATCTGGATCTATTTAATTCAGCCTTAAGCCCACACCAGCATTCCTGGGACTGTCCCCCCTCTACAGACTCTAAGCCATGTTTGAGATGATGAATTTCAAGTCGTGATTCAATCACTTAAGTGGTAAGTGACACAGAGGATATTACTAATCTTTTTTTTTTTTTTTTTGAGATGGACTCTTGCTCTGTCACCCATGCTGGAGTGCAGTGGCGCAATCTCGGCTCGCTGCAAGCTCTGCCTCCGGGGTTTATGCCATTCTCTTGCCTCAGCCTCCTGAGTGGCGCAATCTCGACTCACTGCAAGCTCTGCCTCCCGAGTTTATGCCATTCTCCTGCCTCAGCCTCCTGAGTAGCTAGGACTACAGGTGCCCACCACCACGTCCGGGTAATCTTTTTTTTTTTTTTTTTTTTTTCAAAGTAGAGATGGGGTTTCACCATGTTAGCCAGGATGGTCTCCATCTCCTGACCTCGTGATCCGCCCTTCTCGGCCTCCCAAAGTGCTGGGATTACAGGCGTGAGCCACCGCACCCGGCCTTTTTTTGGTATTTAAAAATATAACTTTATTGAGATATAATTTACATGCCATACAATTACCCATTAAAAGTGCATAATTCAATGGTTTAAATTTTGTGGTATTCACGGAGTTGGTGCAACCGTCAACACAGTCTAATTTTAGAATGTTGTCATCACTGCCCTTCAGAACCCCATGCCGACCAGCTGCCCATCACCACGATCCCCTCACTCTCCCGGCCCTAGGCAACCACTCATCTTCTGTCTCTAAACACCAGAAGGTACTTTTCAAAAATTGTGGCAAAATACACATAACATACATTTTAATATTTAAGAAGTTTTCTAAGGCCAGGTGCAGTGGGTCATGCCTGTAATCCCAGCACTTTGGGAGGCCGAGGTGTGCGGATCACCAGGTCAGGTGATCCAGACTGTCAGGCCTCTGAGCCCAAGCTAAGCCATCATATCCCCCTGTGGCCTGTATGTACACATCCAGATGGCCGGTTCCTGCCTTAACTGATGACATTCCACCACGAAAGAAATGAAAATGGCCTGTTCTTGCCTTAAGTGATGACATTATCTTATGAAATTCCTTCTCCTGGCTCATCCCGGCTCAAAAGCTCCCCTACTGAGCACCTTGTGAACCCCACTCCTGCCCGCCAGAGAACAACCCCCTTTTGACTGTAATTTTCCTTTACCTACCCAAATCCTATAAAACGGCCGCACTCCTATCTCCCTTTGCTGACTCTCTTTCTGGACTCAGCCCGCCTGCACCCAGGTGAAATAAACAGCCTTGTTGCTCACACAAATCCTGTTTGGTGGTCTCTTCACACGGACGTGAGTGAAATTTGGTGCCATAACTCGAATCAGGGGATCTTCCTTAGGAGATCAATCCCCTGTCCTCCTGCTCTTTGCTCCATGAGAAAGATCCACCTACGACCTCTCGTCCTCAGACCAACCAGCCCAAGGAACATCTCACCAATTTTAAATCCAGTAAGCAGCCTCTTTTTACTCTCTTCTCCAACCTCTCTCACTATCCCTCAACCACTTTCTCCTTTCCACTCTTCAATCTCTCCCTTCTCTTAATTTCAGTTCCTTTCCTTTTCTGGTAGAGACAGGAGACGCGCTTTATTCGTGGACCCAAAACTCCAGCGCCGGTCATGGACTCGGGAAGGCAGCCTTCCCTTGGTGTTTAATCACGCAGGGACACCTCTCTGATTATTCACCCACGTTTCAGAGGTGTCTGACCACATGGGGATGCCTGCCTTGGTCCTTCACCCTTAGTGGCAAGTACTGCTTTTCTGGGGGGGCAAGAACCCCCAACTCCTTCTCTGTGTCTCTACCCCTTCTCTGCTTTTCTGGGGGGGCAAGAACCCCCCAACCCCTTCTCCTTCACCCTTAGTGGCAAGTACCGCTTTTCTAGGGGGCAAGAATCCCCCGATCCCTTATTTCTGTGCCCTGACGTCTTATCTCTGCACCCCGATCCCTTATTTCCACACCCCGACCTCTTGTCTCTGCACCCCAATCCCTTACTTCTGTGCCCTGACCCCTTTCCCGCTTTTCTGGAAGGTAAGAACCCCTGAACCCCTTCCCTCCATGTCTCTACTCTCTCTTTTCTCTGTGCTTGCCTCCTTCAGTATGGGCAACCTTCCACCCTCCATTCCTCCTTCTTCTCCCTTAGCCTGTGTTCTTAAAAACCTAAAACCTCTTCAACTCACACCTGACCTAAAACCTAAATGCCTTATTTTCTTCTGCAATGCTGCTTGACCCCAATACAAACTTGACAGTGGTTCCAAATAGCCAGAAAACGGCACTTTCAATTTTTCCATCCTACAAGATCTAAATAATTCTTGTTGTAAAATGGGCAAATGGTCTGAGGTGCCTGACATCCAGGCATTCTTTTACACATCGGTCCCTCCCTAGTCTCTATGCCCAGTGCAACTCGTCCCAAATCTTCCTTCTTTCCCTCCCGCCTGTCCCGTCAGTCCCAACCCCAAGCATCGCTGAGTCTTTCTAATCTTCCTTTTCTACAGACCCATCTGACATCTCCCCTCCTCGCCAGGCCGAGCTGGGTCCCAATTCTTCCTCAGCCTCCGCTCCTCCACCCTATAATCCTTTTATCACCTCCCCTCCTCACACCCGGTCCAGCTTACAGTTCCATTCCATGACTAGCCCTCCCCCAACTGCCCAGCAATTTCCTCTTAAAAAGGTGGCTGAAGCTAAAGGCATAGTCAAGGTTAATGCTCCTTTTTCTTTATCTGACCTCTCCCAAATCAGATAGTGTTTAGGCTCTTTTTCATCAAATTTAAAAACACAGCCCAGTTCATGGCTCATTTGGCAGCAACCCTGAGACGCTTTACAGCCCTAGACCCTAAGTCAAAAGGCCGTCTTATTCTCAATATACATTTTATTACCAAATCTGCTCCCAACATTAAATAAAGCTCCAAAAATTAAATTCTGTCCCTCAAACCCCACAACAAGACTTAATTAACCTCGCCTTCAAGGTGTACAGTAATAGAGTAGAGGCAGCCAAATAGCAACATATTTCTGAGTTGCAATTCCTTGCCTCCACTCCAGTATCCAGATGAGACAAACCCCAGCCACATCTCCAGCACACGAGAACTCCAAACGCCTGAACCGCAGCTGCCAGGGGTTCCTCCAGAACCTCTTCCCCCAGGAGCTTGCTACAAGTACTGGAAATCTGGCCACTGGGCCAAGGAATGTCCACAGCCTGGGATTCCTCCTAAGCCGCATCCCATCTGTGCGGGACCCCACTGAAAATCGGACTGTTCAACTCACCTGGCAGCCACTCCCAGAGCAGCTAGAACTCTGGCCCAAGGCTCTCTGACTCCTTCCCAGATCTTCTCGGCTTAGCAGCTGAAGACTGACACTGCCCGATCCCGATCGCCTCAGAAGCCTACAGGACCATCACAGTCTAGGTAACTCTCACAGTGGAAGGTAAGCCCGTCCCCTTCTTAATCAATATGGAGGCTACCCACTCCACATTACCTTCTTTTCAAGGGCCTGTTTCCCTTGCCTCCATAACTGTTGTAGGTATTGACAGCTAGGCTTCTAAACCTCTTAAAACTCCCCAACTCTGGTGCCAACTTAGACAATACTCTTTCAAGCACTCCTTTTCAGTTATCCCCACCTGCCCAGTTCCCTTATTAGGCTGAGACACTTTAACTAAATTATCTGCTTCCCTGACTGTTCCTGGACTACAGCTATATCTCATTGCTGCCATTCTTCCCAATCCAAAGCCTCCTTTGCTTCCTCCTCTTGCATCCCCCCACCTTAACCCACAAGTATAGGATACCTCTACTCCCTCCTTGGTGACCGATCATGCACCCCTTACCATCTCATTAAAACCTAATCACCCTTACCCCACTCAACGCCAATATCCCATTCCGCAGCACGCTTTAAAAGGATTAAAGCCTGCTACAGCATGGCCTTTTAAAGCCTATAAACTCCCCTTACAATTCTCCCATTTTACCTGTCCTAAAACCAGACAAGGCTTACACATTAGTTCAGGATCTGCGCCTTATCAACCAAATTGTTTTGCCTATCCACCCCGTAGTGCCAAACCCATATACTCTCCTATCCTCAATACCTGCCTCTACAACCCATTATTCTGTTCTGGATCTCAAACGTGCTTTCTTTACTATTCCTTTGCACCCTTCATCCCAGCCTCTCTTCGCTTTCACTTGGACTGACCCTGACACCGATCAAGCTCAGCAAATTACCTGGGCTGTACTGCCGCAAAGCTT